>NC_000008.11:45345032-45500772 GCF_000001405.40 Homo sapiens | reverse complement strand
GCTGTCTAATTTTTACATGTAAGCCCGTTTCCAACGAAATCCTCAAAGCTATCCCAAATATCCGCATGCAGAATCTTCAAAAAGAGTGTTCCAGAAGTACTGCATGAAACGAAAGGTTCAAGTCCGTTTGTTGAGGACACACATCACAAATAAGTTTCTCAGAATGCTTCTGTCTTGTTTTCATTGGAAGATATTTCCTTTTTCACCATAGTTCAGAAAGCGCTCCAAATGTCCACTTCCAGATACTCCAAAAAGAGTGTTTCCAACCTGCTCTATGAATGGGAATGTTCCACTCTGTGACTTGAATGGAAATATGGCAAAGTATTTTCTGAGTATGCTGCTGTGTACGTTTTATATTGCATCCCGTTTCCAACGAAATCCTCAAAGCGATCCAAATATCCACTTGCAGATTCCAAAAAAAGAGTGTTTCAAACTGCTCTGTCAGTACAAAGGTTCAACACTGTTAGTTGATTAGATGCATCATAAACAAGTTCCTGATATAGATTCTATGTCGTTTTTATGGGAAGATATTTCCTTTTTCACCATAGGCCTGAAAGCGCTCCAAATGTCCACTTCCAGATACTACAATAAGAGTGTTTCCAACCTGCTCTATGAAACGGAAGGTTCAACTCTGTGACTTGATTGCAAACATCACGAAAGGTGTTTCTGAGAATGCTTCTGTCTAAATTTTCTATGAAGACATTCCCGTTTCCAACGAAATCCTCACAGCTATCCAAATATCCACTTGCAGATTCTACAAAAAGTGTGGTTCAAAACTGCTGTATCAAAAGAATGGATCAACACTGTTAGTTGAGTACCCACATCACAAACGTGATTCTCAGAATGCTTCTGTCTAGTTTCTATAGGTAGATATTTCCTTTTTCAGCATAGGCCTGAAAGCGCTCCAAATGCCCGCTTCCAGACACTATAAAAAGAGGGTTTCAAACCTACTCTATGAAAGGGAATGTTCAACTCTGAGAGCTGGATGCAAACATCACAAAGAAGTTTCTGAGAATGCTGCTGTCTACTTTTTATATATAATCCCGTTTCCAACGAAATCCTCAAATCTATCCAAATATCCACTTGCAGATTCCAAAAGAAGAGTGTCTCAAAACTGCTCTATCAATAGAAATGTTCAGCACAGTTAGTTGAGTAGATACAGCATAAACATGTTTCTGAGATTACTTCTATCTCGCATTCATGGGAAGATATTTCCTTTTTCCAGATAGGCTACAAAGCCCTCCAAATGTCCACTTCCAGATACTACAAATAGAGTGCTGCACAACTGCTCTATGTGAGGGGAAGTTCAATTCTGTGACTTGAATGCAGACACCACAAAGAAGTTTCTGAGAATGCTGCTGTCTAATTTTTACATGTAAGCCCGTTTCCAACGAAATCCTCAAAGCTATCCAAATATCCGCATGCAGAATCTTCAAAAAGAGTGTTCCAGAAGTACTGCATGAAACGAAAGGTTCAAGTCCGTTTGTTGAGGACACACATCACAAATAAGTTTCTCAGAATGCTTCTGTCTTGTTTTCATTGGAAGATATTTCCTTTTTCACCATAGTTCAGAAAGCGCTCCAAATGTCCACTTCCAGATACTCCAAAAAGAGTGTTTCCAACCTGCTCTATGAATGGGAATGTTCCACTCTGTGACTTGAATGGAAATATGGCAAAGTATTTTCTGAGTATGCTGCTGTGTACGTTTTATATTGCATCCCGTTTCCAACGAAATCCTCAAAGCGATCCAAATATCCACTTGCAGATTCCAAAAAAAGAGTGTTTCAAACTGCTCTGTCAGTACAAAGGTTCAACACTGTTAGTTGATTAGATGCATCATAAACAAGTTCCTGAGATAGCTTCTATGTCGTTTTTATGGGAAGATATTTCCTTTTTCACCATAGGCCTGAAAGCGCTCCAAATGTCCACTTCCAGATACTACAATAAGAGTGTTTCCAACCTGCTCTATGAAACGGAAGGTTCAACTCTGTGACTTGATTGCAAACATCACGAAGGTGTTTCTGAGAATGCTTCTGTCTAGATTTTCTTTGAAGACATTCCCGTTTCCAACGAAATCCTCACAGCTATCCAAATATCCTCTTGCAGATTCTACAAAAAGTGTGGTTCAAAACTGCTGTATCAAAAGAATGGATCAACACTGTTAGTTGAGTACCCACATCACAAACGTGATTCTCAGAATGCTTCTGTCTAGTTTCTGTAGGTAGATATTTCCTATTTTAAGCATAGGCCTGAAAGCGCTCCAAATGCCCGCTTCCAGACACTATAAAAAGAGGGTTTCAAACCTACTCTATGAAAGGGAATGTTCAACTCTGAGAGCTGGATGCAAACATCACAAAGAAGTTTCTGAGAATGCTGCTGTCTACTTTTTATATATAATCCCGTTTCCAACGAAATCCTCAAATCTATCCAAATATCCACTTGCAGATTCCAAAAGAAGAGTGTCTCAAAACTGCTCTATCAATAGAAATGTTCAGCACAGTTAGTTGAGTAGATACAGCATAAACATGTTTCTGAGATTACTTCTATCTCGCATTCATGGGAAGATATTTCCTTTTTCCAGATAGGCTACAAAGCCCTCCAAATGTCCACTTCCAGATACTACAAATAGAGTGCTGCACAACTGCTCTATGTGAGGGGAAGTTCAATTCTGTGACTTGAATGCAGACACCACAAAGAAGTTTCTGAGAATGCTGCTGTCTAATTTTTACATGTAAGCCCGTTTCCAACGAAATCCTCAAAGCTATCCAAATATCCGCATGCAGAATCTTCAAAAAGAGTGTTCCAGAAGTACTGCATGAAACGAAAGGTTCAAGTCCGTTTGTTGAGGACACACATCACAAATAAGTTTCTCAGAATGCTTCTGTCTTGTTTTCATTGGAAGATATTTCCTTTTTCACCATAGTTCAGAAAGCGCTCCAAATGTCCACTTCCAGATACTCCAAAAAGAGTGTTTCCAACCTGCTCTATGAATGGGAATGTTCCACTCTGTGACTTGAATGGAAATATGGCAAAGTATTTTCTGAGTATGCTGCTGTGTACGTTTTATATTGCATCCCGTTTCCAACGAAATCCTCAAAGCGATCCAAATATCCACTTGCAGATTCCAAAAAAAGAGTGTTTCAAACTGCTCTGTCAGTACAAAGGTTCAACACTGTTAGTTGATTAGATGCATCATAAACAAGTTCCTGAGATAGCTTCTATGTCGTTTTTATGGGAAGATATTTCCTTTTTCACCATAGGCCTGAAAGCGCTCCAAATGTCCACTTCCAGATACTACAATAAGAGTGTTTCCAACCTGCTCTATGAAACGGAAGGTTCAACTCTGTGACTTGATTGCAAACATCACGAAGGTGTTTCTGAGAATGCTTCTGTCTAGATTTTCTTTGAAGACATTCCCGTTTCCAACGAAATCCTCACAGCTATCCAAATATCCTCTTGCAGATTCTACAAAAAGTGTGGTTCAAAACTGCTGTATCAAAAGAATGGATCAACACTGTTAGTTGAGTACCCACATCACAAACGTGATTCTCAGAATGCTTCTGTCTACTTTCTATAGGTAGATATTTCCTTTTTCAGCATAGGCCTGAAAGCGCTCCAAATGCCCGCTTCCAGACACTATAAAAAGAGGGTTTCAAACCTACTCTACGAAAGGGAATGTTCAACTCTGAGAGCTGGATGCAAACATCACAAAGAAGTTTCTGAGAATGCTGCTGTCTACTTTTGATATAGAATCCCGTTTCCAAGGAAATCCTCAAATCTATCCAAATATCCACTTGCAGATTCCAAAAGAAGAGTGTCTCAAAACTGCTCTATCAATAGAAATGTTCAGCACAGTTAGTTGAGTAGATACAGCATAAACATGTTTCTGAGATTACTTCTATCTCGCATTCATGGGAAGATATTTCCTTTTTCCAGATAGGCTACAAAGCCCTCCAAATGTCCACTTCCAGATACTACAAATAGAGTGCTGCACAACTGCTCTATGTGAGGGGAAGTTCAATTCTGTGACTTGAATGCAGACACCACAAAGAAGTTTCTGAGAATGCTGCTGTCTAATTTTTACATGTAAGCCCGTTTCCAACGAAATCCTCAAAGCTATCCAAATATCCGAATGCAGAATCTTCAAAAAGAGTGTTCCAGAAGTACTGCATGAAACGAAAGGTTCAAGTCCGTTTGTTGAGGACACACATCACAAATAAGTTTCTCAGAATGCTTCTGTCTTGTTTTCATTGGAAGATATTTCCTTTTTCACCATAGTTCAGAAAGCGCTCCAAATGTCCACTTCCAGATACTCCAAAAAGAGTGTTTCAAACCTGCTCTATGAATGGGAATGTTCCACTCTGTGACTTGAATGGAAATATGGCAAAGTATTTTCTGAGTATGCTGCTGTGTACGTTTTATATTGCATCCCGTTTCCAACGAAATCCTCAAAGTGATCCAAATATCCACTTGCAGATTCCAAAAAAAGAGTGTTTCAAACTGCTCTGTCAGTACAAAGGTTCAACACTGTTAGTTGATTAGATGCATCATAAACAAGTTCCTGAGATAGCTTCTATGTCGTTTTTA
Organism: Homo sapiens; assembly: GCF_000001405.40. Taxonomy (NCBI): domain Eukaryota; kingdom Metazoa; phylum Chordata; class Mammalia; order Primates; family Hominidae; genus Homo; species Homo sapiens. Next base: position 45,496,185 of record NC_000008.11, on the reverse strand, counting down.
TGGGAAGATATTTCCTTTTTCACCATAGGCCTGAAAGCACTCCAAATGTCCACTTCCAGATACTACAAAAAGAGTGTTTCCAACCTGCTCTATGAAACGGAAGGTTCAACTCTGTGACTTGATTGCAAACATCACGAAGGTGTTTCTGAGAATGCTTCTGTCTAGATTTTCTTTGAAGACATTACCGTTTCCAACGAAATCCTCAAAGCTAGCCAAATATCCACCTGCAGATTCTACAAAAAGAGTGTTTCAAAAGTGCTCTGTCCAAACCAAGGTTCAATTCTGACAGTTGAGTGCACACATCACAAACGTGATTCTGCGAATGCTTCTGTCTTGTTTTTGTCGGAAGATATTTCCTTTCTCAGCATAGGCCCCAAGGAGCTCAAAATGTCCACTTCCAGATAGTACGAGAAGATTGTTTCAAACCTGCTCTGTGAAAGGGAATGTTCAACTCTGTGACTTGAATGTAAACATCCCTAAGATGTTTCTTAGAATGTTTCTGGCTAGATTTGATTTGAAGATATTCCCGTTTCCATCGAAATCCTCAAAGCTTTCCAAATATCCACTTCCAGATTCTATAAAAAGAATGTTTCGGAACAGTTCTGTCAAAAGAAAGGTTCAACCCTGTTAGTGGAGAACACACATCACAATCAAGGTTCTGAGAATGCTTCTGTCTAAATTTTCTATGAAGACATTCCCGTTTCCAAGGAAATCCTCACAGCTATCCAAATATCCACTTGCAGATTCTACAAAAAGTGTGGTTCAAAACTGCTGTATCAAAAGAATGGATCAACACTGTTAGTTGAGTACCCACATCACAAACGTGATTCTCAGAATGCTTCTGTCTAGTTTCTATAGGTAGATATTTCCTTTTTCAGCATAGGCCTGAAAGCGCTCCAAATGCCCGCTTCCAGACACTATAAAAAGAGGGTTTCAAACCTACTCTACGAAAGGGAATGTTCAACTCTGAGAGCTGGATGCAAACATCACAAAGAAGTTTCTGAGAATGCTGCTGTCTACTTTTTATATATAATCCCGTTTCCAACGAAATCCTCAAATCTATCCAAATATCCACTTGCAGATTCCAAAAGAAGAGTGTCTCAAAACTGCTCTATCAATAGACATGTTCAGCACAGTTAGTTGAGTAGATACAGCATAAACATGTTTCTGAGATTACTTCTATCTCGCATTCATGGGAAGATATTTCCTTTTTCCAGATAGGCTACAAAGCCCTCCAAATGTCCACTTCCAGATACTACAAATAGAGTGCTGCACAACTGCTCTATGTGAGGGGAAGTTCAATTCTGTGACTTGAATGCAGACACCACAAAGAAGTTTCTGAGAATGCTGCTGTCTAATTTTTACATGTAAGCCCGTTTCCAACGAAATCCTCAAAGCTATCCAAATATCCGCATGCAGAATCTTCAAAAAGAGTGTTCCAGAAGTACTGCATGAAACGAAAGCTTCGAGTCCGTTAGTTGAGGACACGCATCACAAATAAGTTTCTCAGAATGCTTCTGTCTTGTTTTCATTGGAACATATTTCCCTTTTCACCATAGTTCAGAAAGCCCTCCAAATGTCCACTTCCAGATACTACAAAAAGAGTGTTTCCAACCTGCTCTATGAAACGGAAGGTTCAACTCTGTGACTTGATTGCAAACATCACGAAGGTGTTTCTGAGAATGCTTCTGTCTAGATTTTCTTTGAAGACATTACCGTTTCCAACGAAATCCTCAAAGCTAGCCAAATATCCACCTGCAGATTCTACAAAAAGAGTGTTTCAAAAGTGCTCTGTCCAAACCAAGGTTCAATTCTGACAGTTGAGTGCACACATCACAAACGTGATTCTGCGAATGCTTCTGTCTAGTTTTTGTCGGAAGATATTTCCTTTTTCAGCATAGGCCCCAAGGAGCTCAAAATGTCCACTGCCAGATAGTACGAGAAGATTGTTTCAAACCTGCTCTGTGAAAGGGAATGTTCAACTCTGTGACTTGAATGTAAACATCCCTAAGATGTTTCTTAGAATGCTTCTGGCTAGATTTGATTTGAAGATATTCCCGTTTCCAACGAAATCCTCAAAGCTTTCCAAATATCCACTTCCAGATTCTATAAAAAGAATGTTTCAGAACAGTTCTGTCAAAAGAAAGGTTCAACTCTGTTAGTGGAGAACACACATCACAATCAAGGTTCTGAGAATGCTTCTGTCTAGATTTTCTTTGAAGACATCCCCGTTTCCAACGAAATCCTCACAGCTATCCAAATATCCTCTTGCAGATTCTACAAAAAGTGTGGTTCAAAACTGCTGTGTCAAAAGAATGGATCAACACTGTTAGTTGAGTACCCACATCACAAACGTGATTCTCAGAATGCTTCTGTCTAGTTTCTGTAGGTAGATATTTCCTATTTTAAGCATAGGCCTGAAAGCGCTCCAAATGCCCGCTTCCAGACACTATAAAAAGAGGGTTTCAAACCTACTCTATGAAAGGGAATGTTCAACTCTGAGAGCTGGATGCAAACATCACAAAGAAGTTTCTGAGAATGCTGCTGTCTACTTTTTATATATAATCCCGTTTCCAACGAAATCCTCAAATCTATCCAAATATCCACTTGCAGATTCCAAAAGAAGAGTGTCTCAAAACTGCTCTATCAATAGAAATGTTCAGCACAGTTAGTTGAGTAGATACAGCATAAACATGTTTCTGAGATTACTCTATCTCGCATTCATGGGAAGATATTTCCTTTTTCCAGATAGGCTACAAAGCCCTCCAAATGTCCACTTCCAGATACTACAAATAGAGTGCTGCACAACTGCTCTATGTGAGGTGAAGTTCAATTCTGTGACTTGAATGCAGACACCACAAAGAAGTTTCTGAGAATGCTGGCTGTCTAATTTTTACATGTAAGCCCGTTTCCAACGAGATCCTCAAAGCTATCCAAATATCCGCATGCAGAATCTTCAAAAAGAGTGTTCCAGAAGTACTGCATGAAACGAAAGGTTCAAGTCCGTTTGTTGAGGACACACATCACAAATAAGTTTCTCAGAATGCTTCTGTCTTGTTTTCATTGGAAGATATTTCCTTTTTCACCATAGTTCAGAAAGCGCTCCAAATGTCCACTTCCAGATACTCCAAAAAGAGTGTTTCCAACCTGCTCTATGAATGGGAATGTTCCACTCTGTGACTTGAATGGAAATATGGCAAAGTATTTTCTGAGTATGCTGCTGTGTACGTTTTATATTGCATCCCGTTTCCAACGAAATCCTCAAAGCGATCCAAATATCCACTTGCAGATTCCAAAAAAAGAGTGTTTCAAACTGCTCTGTCAGTACAAAGGTTCAACACTGTTAGTTGATTAGATGCATCATAAAAAAGTTCCTGAGATAGCTTCTATGTCGTTTTTATGGGAAGATATTTCCTTTTTCACCATAGGCCTGAAAGCGCTCCAAATGTCCACTTCCAGATACTACAATAAGAGTGTTTCCAACCTGCTCTATGAAACGGAAGGTTCAACTCTGTGACTTGATTGCAAACATCACGAAGGTGTTTCTGAGAATGCTTCTGTCTAGATTTTCTTTGAAGACATTCCCGTTTCCAACGAAATCCTCACAGCTATCCAAATATCCTCTTGCAGATTCTACAAAAAGTGTGGTTCAAAACTGCTGTATCAAAAGAATGGATCAACACTGTTAGTTGAGTACCCACATCACAAACGTGATTCTCAGAATGCTTCTGTCTAGTTTCTGTAGGTAGATATTTCCTATTTTAAGCATAGGCCTGAAAGCGCTCCAAATGCCCGCTTCCAGACACTATAAAAAGAGGGTTTCAAACCTACTCTATGAAAGGGAATGTTCAACTCTGAGAGCTGGATGCAAATATCACAAAGAAGTTTCTGAGAATGCTGCTCTCAACTTTTTATATATAATCCCGTTTCCAACGAAATCCTCAAATCTATCCAAATATCCACTTGCAGATTCCAAAAGAAGAGTGTCTCAAAACTGCTCTATCAATAGAAATGTTCAGCACAGTTAGTTGAGTAGATACAGCATAAACATGTTTCTGAGATTACTTCTATCTCGCATTCATGGGAAGATATTTCCTTTTTCCAGAAAGGCTACAAAGCCCTCCAAATGTCCACTTCCAGATACTACAAAAAGAGTGTTTCCAACCTGCTCTATGAAACGGAAGGTTCAACTCTGTGACTTGATTGCAAAAATCACGAAGGTGTTTCTGAGAATGCTTCTGTCTAGATTTTCTTTGAAGACATTACCGTTTCCAACGAAATCCTCAAAGCTAGCCAAATATCCACCTGCAGATTCTACAAAAAGAGTGTTTCAAAAGTGCTCTGTCCAAACCAAGGTTCAATTCTGACAGTTGAGTGCACACATCACAAACGTGATTCTGCGAATGCTTCTGTCTAGTTTTTGTCGGAAGATTTTTCCTTTTTCACCATAGGCCCAAAGGAGCTCAAAATGTCCACTGCCAGATAGTACGAGAAGATTGTTTCAAACCTGCTCTGTGAAAGGGAATGTTCAACTCTGTGACTTGAATGTAAACATCCCTAAGCTGTTTCTTAGAATGCTTCTGGCTAGATTTGATTTGAAGATATTCCCGTTTCCAATGAAATCCTCAAAGCTTTCCAAATATCCACTTCCAGATTCTATAAAAAGAATGTTTCAGAACAGTTCTGTCAAAAGAAAGGTTCAACTCTGTTAGTGGAGAACACACATCACAATCAAGGTTCTGAGAATGCTTCTGTCTAAATTTTCTATGAAGACATTCCCGTTTCCAACGAAATCCTCACAGCTATCCAAATATCCACTTGCAGATTCTACAAAAAGTGTGGTTCAAAACTGCTGTATCAAAAGAATGGATCAACACTGTTAGTTGAGTACCCACATCACAAACGTGATTCTCAGAATGCTTCTGTCTAGTTTCTGTAGGTAGATATTTCCTATTTTAAGCATAGGCCAGAAAGCGCTCCAAATGCCCGCTTCCAGACACTATAAAAAGAGGGTTTCAAACCTACTCTATGAAAGGGAATGTTCAACTCTGAGAGCTGGATGCAAACATCACAAAGAAGTTTCTGAGAATGCTGCTGTCTACTTTTTATATATAATCCCGTTTCCAACGAAATCCTCAAATCTATCCAAATATCCACTTGCAGATTCCAAAAGAAGAGTGTCTCAAAACTGCTCTATCAATAGAAATGTTCAGCACAGTTAGTTGATTAGATACAGCATAAACATGTTTCTGAGATTACTTCTATCTCGCATTCATGGGAAGATATTTCCTTTTTCCAGATAGGCTACAAAGCCCTCCAAATGTCCACTTCCAGATACTACAAATAGAGTGCTGCACAACTGCTCTATGTGAGGGGAAGTTCAATTCTGTGACTTGAATGCAGACACCACAAAGAAGTTTCTGAGAATGCTGCTGTCTAATTTTTACATGTAAGCCCGTTTCCAACGAAATCCTCAAAGCTATCCAAATATCCGCATGCAGAATCTTCAAAAAGAGTGTTCCAGAAGTACTGCATGAAACGAAAGGTTCAAGTCCGTTTGTTGAGGACACACATCACAAATAAGTTTCTCAGAATGCTTCTGTCTTGTTTTCATTGGAAGATATTTCCTTTTTCACCATAGTTCAGAAAGCGCTCCAAATGTCCACTTCCAGATACTCCAAAAAGAGTGTTTCCAACCTGCTCTATGAATGGGAATGTTCCACTCTGTGACTTGAATGGAAATATGGCAAAGTATTTTCTGAGTATGCTGCTGTGTACGTTTTATATTGCATCCCGTTTCCAACGAAATCCTCAAAGCGATCCAAATATCCACTTGCAGATTCCAAAAAAAGAGTGTTTCAAAGTGCTCTGTCAGTACAAAGGTTCAACACTGTTAGTTGATTAGATGCATCATAAACAAGTTCCTGAGATAGCTTCTATGTCGTTTTTATGGGAATATATTTCCTTTTTCACCATAGGCCTGAAAGCGCTCCAAATGTCCACTTCCAGATACTACAATAAGAGTGTTTCCAACCTGCTCTATGAAACGGAAGGTTCAACTCTGTGACTTGATTGCAAACATCACGAAGGTGTTTCTGAGAATGCTTCTGTCTAGATTTTCTTTGAAGACATCCCCGTTTCCAACGAAATCCTCACAGCTATCCAAATATCCTCTTGCAGATTCTACAAAAAGTGTGGTTCAAAACTGCTGTGTCAAAAGAATGGATCAACACTGTTAGTTGAGTACCCACATCACAAACGTGATTCTCAGAATGCTTCTGTCTAGTTTCTGTAGGTAGATATTTCCTATTTTAAGCATAGGCCTGAAAGCGCTCCAAATGCCCGCTTCCAGACACTATAAAAAGAGGGTTTCAAACCTACTCTATGAAAGGGAATGTTCAACTCTGAGAGCTGGATGCAAACATCACAAAGAAGTTTCTGAGAATGCTGCTGTCTACTTTTTATATATATCCCGTTTCCAACGAAATCCTCAAATCTATCCAAATATCCACTTGCAGATTCCAAAAGAAGAGTGTCTCAAAACTGCTCTATCAATAGAAATGTTCAGCACAGTTAGTTGAGTAGATACAGCATAAACATGTTTCTGAGATTACTTCTATCTCGCATTCATGGGAAGATATTTCCTTTTTCCAGATAGGCTACAAAGCCCTCCAAATGTCCACTTCCAGATACTACAAATAGAGTGCTGCACAACTGCTCTATGTGAGGGGATGTTCAATTCTGTGACTTGAATGCAGACACCACAAAGAAGTTTCTGAGAATGCTGCTGTCTAATTTTTACATGTAAGCCCGTTTCCAACGAAATCCTCAAAGCTATCCAAATATCCGCATGCAGAATCTTCAAAAAGAGTGTTCCAGAAGTACTGCATGAAACGAAAGGTTCAAGTCCGTTTGTTGAGGACACACATCACAAATAAGTTTCTCAGAATGCTTCTGTCTTGTTTTCATTGGAAGATATTTCCTTTTTCACCATAGTTCAGAAAGCGCTCCAAATGTCCACTTCCAGATACTCCAAAAAGAGTGTTTCCAACCTGCTCTATGAATGGGAATGTTCCACTCTGTGACTTGAATGGAAATATGGCAAAGTATTTTCTGAGTATGCTGCTGTGTACGTTTTATATTGCATCCCGTTTCCAACGAAATCCTCAAAGTGATCCAAATATCCACTTGCAGATTCCAAAAAAAGAGTGTTTCAAACTGCTCTGTCAGTACAAAGGTTCAACACTGTTAGTTGATTAGATGCATCATAAACAAGTTCCTGAGATAGCTTCTATGTCGTTTTTATGGGAAGCTATTTCCTTTTTCACCATAGGCCTGAAAGCGCTCCAGATGTCCACTTCCAGATACTACAAAAAGAGTGTTTCCAACCTGCTCTATGAAACGGAAGGTTCAACTCTGTGACTTGATTGCAAACATCACGAAGGTGTTTCTGAGGATGTTTCTGTCTAGATTTTCTTTGAAGACATTACCGTTTCCAACGAAATCCTCAAAGCTAGCCAAATATCCACCTGCAGATTCTACAAAAAGAGTGTTTCAAAAGTGCTCTGTCCAAACCAAGGTTCAATTCTGACAGTTGAGTGCACACATCACAAACGTGATTCTGCGAATGCTTCTGTCTAGTTTTTGTCGGAAGATATTTCCTTTTTCAGCATAGGCCCCAAGGAGCTCAAAATGTCCACTGCCAGATAGTACGAGAAGATTGTTTCAAACCTGCTCTGTGAAAGGGAATGTTCAACTCTGTGACTTGAATGTAAACATCCCTAAGATGTTTCTTAGAATGCTTCTGGCTAGATTTTATTTGAAGATATTCCCGTTTCCAACGAAATCCTCAAAGCTTTCCAAATATCCACTTCCAGATTCTATAAAAAGAATGTTTCAGAACAGTTCTGTCAAAAGAAAGGTTCAACTCTGTTAGTGGAGAACACACATCACAATCAAGGTTCTGAGAATGCTTCTCTCTAAATTTTCTATGAAGACATTCCCGTTTCCAACGAAATCCTCACAGCTATCCAAATATCCACTTGCAGATTCTACAAAAAGTGTGGTTCAAAACTGCTGTATCAAAAGAATGGATCAACACTGTTAGTTGAGTACCCACATCACAAACGTGATTCTCAGAATGCTTCTGTCTAGTTTCTATAGGTAGATATCTCCTTTTTCAGCATAGGCCTGAAAGCGCTCCAAATGCCCGCTTCCAGACACTATAAAAAGAGGGTTTCAAACCTACTCTATGAAAGGGAATGTTCAACTCTGAGAGCTGGATGCAAACATCACAAAGAAGTTTCTGAGAATGCTGCTGTCTACTTTTTATATATAATCCCGTTTCCAACGAAATCCTCAAATCTCTCCAAATATCCACTTGCAGATTCCAAAAGAAGAGTGTCTCAAAACTGCTCTATCAATAGAAATGTTCAGCACAGTTAGTTGAGTAGATACAGCATAAACATGTTTCCTGAGATTACTTCTATCTCGCATTCATGGGAAGATATTTCCTTTTTCCAGATAGGCTACAAAGCCCTCCAAATGTCCACTTCCAGATACTACAAATAGAGTGCTGCACAACTGCTCTATGTGAGGGGAAGTTCAATTCTGTGACTTGAATGCAGACACCACAAAGAAGTTTCTGAGAATGCTGCTGTCTAATTTTTACATGTAAGCCCGTTTCCAACGAAATCCTCAAAGCTATCCAAATATCCGCATGCAGAATCTTCAAAAAGAGTGTTCCAGAAGTACTGCATGAAACGAAAGGTTCAAGTCCGTTTGTTGAGGACACACATCACAAATAAGTTTCTCAGAATGCTTCTGTCTTGTTTTCATTGGAAGATATTTCCTTTTTCACCATAGTTCAGAAAGCGCTCCAAATGTCCACTTCCAGATACTCCAAAAAGAGTGTTTCAAACCTGCTCTATGAATGGGAATGTTCCACTCTGTGACTTGAATGGAAATATGGCAAAGTATTTTCTGAGTATGCTGCTGTGTACGTTTTATATTGCATCCCGTTTCCAACGAAATCCTCAAAGCGATCCAAATATCCACTTGCAGATTCCAAAAAAAGAGTGTTTCAAACTGCTCTGTCAGTACAAAGGTTCAACACTGTTAGTTGATTAGATGCATCATAAACAAGTTCCTGAGATAGCTTCTATGTCGTTTTTATGGGAAGCTATTTCCTTTTTCACCATAGGCCTGAAAGCGCTCCAGATGTCCACTTCCAGATACTACAAAAAGAGTGTTTCCAACCTGCTCTATGAAACGGAAGGTTCAACTCTGTGACTTGATTGCAAACATCACGAAGGTGTTTCTGAGGATGTTTCTGTCTAGATTTTCTTTGAAGACATTACCGTTTCCAACGAAATCCTCAAAGCTAGCCAAATATCCACCTGCAGATTCTACAAAAAGAGTGTTTCAAAAGTGCTCTGTCCAAACCAAGGTTCAATTCTGACAGTTGAGTGCACACATCACAAACGTGATTCTGCGAATGCTTCTGTCTAGTTTTTGTCGGAAGATATTTCCTTTTTCAGCATAGGCCCCAAGGAGCTCAAAATGTCCACTGCCAGATAGTACGAGAAGATTGTTTCAAACCTGCTCTGTGAAAGGGAATGTTCAACTCTGTGACTTGAATGTAAACATCCCTAAGATGTTTCTTAGAATGCTTCTGGCTAGATTTTATTTGAAGATATTCCCGTTTCCAACGAAATCCTCAAAGCTTTCCAAATATCCACTTCCAGATTCTATAAAAAGAATGTTTCAGAACAGTTCTGTCAAAAGAAAGGTTCAACTCTGTTAGTGGAGAACACACATCACAATCAAGGTTCTGAGAATGCTTCTGTCTAAATTTTCTATGAAGACATTCCCGTTTCCAACGAAATCCTCACAGCTATCCAAATATCCACTTGCAGATTCTACAAAAAGGGTGGTTCAAAACTGCTGTATCAATAGAATGGATCAACACTGTTAGTTGAGTACCCACATCAAAAACGTGATTCTCAGAATGCTTCTGCTAGTTTCTGTAGGTAGATATTTCCTTTTTCAGCACAGACCTGAAAGCGCTCCAAATGCCCGCTTCCAGACACTATAAAAAGGGGGTTTCAAACCTACTCTATGAAAGGGAATGTTCAACTCTGAGAGCTGGATGCAAACATCACAAAGAAGTTTCTGAGAATGCTGCTGTCTACTTTTTATATATAATCCCGTTTCCAACGAAATCCTCAAATCTATCCAAATATCCACTTGCAGATTCCAAAAGAAGAGTGTCTCAAAACTGCTCTATCAATAGAAATGTTCAGCACAGTTAGTTGAGTAGATACAGCATAAACATGTTTCTGAGATTACTTCTATCTCGCATTCATGGGAAGATATTTCCTTTTTCCAGATAGGCTACAAAGCCCTCCAAATGTCCACTTCCAGATACTACAAATAGAGTGCTGCACAACTGCTCTATGTGAGGGGAAGTTCAATTCTGTGACTTGAATGCAGACACCACAAAGAAGTTTCTGAGAATGCTGCTGTCTAATTTTTACATGTAAGCCCGTTTCCAACGAAATCCTCAAAGCTATCCAAATATCCGCATGCAGAATCTTCAAAAAGAGTGTTCCAGAAGTACTGCATGAAACGAAAGGTTCAAGTCCGTTTGTTGAGGACACACATCACAAATAAGTTTCTCAGAATGCTTCTGTCTTGTTTTCATTGGAAGATATTTCCTTTTTCACCATAGTTCAGAAAGCGCTCCAAATGTCCACTTCCAGATACTCCAAAAAGAGTGTTTCCAACCTGCTCTATGAATGGGAATGTTCCACTCTGTGACTTGAATGGAAATATGGCAAAGTATTTTCTGAGTATGCTGCTGTGTACGTTTTATATTGCATCCCGTTTCCAACGAAATCCTCAAAGCGATCCAAATATCCACTTGCAGATTCCAAAAAAAGAGTGTTTCAAACTGCTCTGTCAGTACAAAGGTTCAACACTGTTAGTTGATTAGATGCATCATAAACAAGTTCCTGATATAGATTCTATGTCGTTTTTATGGGAAGATATTTCCTTTTTCACCATAGGCCTGAAAGCGCTCCAAATGTCCACTTCCAGATACTACAAAAAGAGTGTTTCCAACCTGCTCTATGAAACGGAAGGTTCAACTCTGTGACTTGATTGCAAACATCACGAAGGTGTTTCTGAGGATGTTTCTGTCTAGATTTTCTTTGAAGACATTACCGTTTCCAACGAAATCCTCAAAGCTAGCCAAATATCCACCTGCAGATTCTACAAAAAGAGTGTTTCAAAAGTGCTCTGTCCAAACCAAGGTTCAATTCTGACAGTTGAGTGCACACATCACAAACGTGATTCTGCGAATGCTTCTGTCTAGTTTTTGTCGGAAGATATTTCCTTTTTCAGCATAGGCCCCAAGGAGCTCAAAATGTCCACTTCCAGATAGTACGAGAAGATTGTTTCAAACCTGCTCTGTGAAAGGGAATGTTCAACTCTGTGACTTGAATGTAAACATCCCTAAGATGTTTCTTAGAATGCTTCTGGCTAGATTTTATTTGAAGATATTCCCGTTTCCAACGAAATCCTCAAAGCTTTCCAAATATCCACTTCCAGATTCTATAAAAAGAATGTTTCAGAACAGTTCTGTCAAAAGAAAGGTTCAACTCTGTTAGTGGAGAACACACATCACAATCAAGGTTCTGAGAATGCTTCTGTCTACATTTTCTATGAAGACATTCCCGTTTCCAACGAAATCCTCACAGCTATCCAAATATCCACTTGCAGATTCTACAAAAAGTGTGGTTCAAAACTGCTGTATCAAAAGAATGGATCAACACTGTTAGTTGAGTACCCACATCACAAACGTGATTCTCAGAATGCTTCTGTCTAGTTTCTGTAGGTAGATATTTCCTATTTTAAGCATAGGCCTGAAAGCGCTCCAAATGCCCGCTTCCAGACACTATAAAAAGAGGGTTTCAAACCTACTCTATGAAAGGGAATGTTCAACTCTGAGAGCTGGATGCAAACATCACAAAGAAGTTTCTGAGAATGCTGCTGTCTACTTTTTATATATAATCCCGTTTCCAACGAAATCCTCAAATCTATCCAAATATCCACTTGCAGATTCCAAAAGAAGAGGGTCTCAAAACTGCTCTATCAATAGAAATGTTCAGCACAGTTAGTTGAGTAGATACAGCATAAACATGTTTCTGAGATTACTTCTATCTCGCATTCATGGGAAGATATTTCCTTTTTCCAGATAGGCTACAAAGCCCTCCAAATGTCCACTTCCAGATACTACAAATAGAGTGCTGCACAACTGCTCTATGTGAGGGGATGTTCAATTCTGTGACTTGAATGCAGACACCACAAAGAAGTTTCTGAGAATGCTGCTGTATAATTTTTACATGTAAGCCCGTTTCCAACGAAATCCTCAAAGCTATCCAAATATCCGCATGCAGAATCTTCAAAAAGAGTGTTCCAGAAGTACTGCATGAAACGAAAGGTTCAAGTCCGTTTGTTGAGGACACACATCACAAATAAGTTTCTCAGAATGCTTCTGTCTTGTTTTCATTGGAAGATATTTCCTTTTTCACCATAGTTCAGAAAGCGCTCCAAATGTCCACTTCCAGATACTCCAAAAAGAGTGTTTCCAACCTGCTCTATGAATGGGAATGTTCCACTCTGTGACTTGAATGGAAATATGGCAAAGAATTTTCTGAGTATGCTGCTGTGTACGTTTTATATTGCATCCCGTTTCCAACGAAATCCTCAAAGCGATCCAAATATCCACTTGCAGATTCCAAAAAAAGAGTGTTTCAAACTGCTCTGTCAGTACAAAGGTTCAACACTGTTAGTTGATTAGATGCCTCATAAACAAGTTCCTGAGATAGCTTCTATGTCGTTTTTATGGGAAGATATTTCCTTTTTCACCATAGGCCTGAAAGCGCTCCAAATGTCCACTTCCAGATACTACAATAAGAGTGTTTCCAACCTGCTCTATGAAACGGAAGGTTCAACTCTGTGACTTGATTGCAAACATCACGAAGGTGTTTCTGAGAATGCTTCTGTCTAGATTTTCTTTGAAGACATTCCCGTTTCCAACGAAATCCTCACAGCTATCCAAATATCCTCTTGCAGATTCTACAAAAAGTGTGGTTCAAAACTGCTGTATCAAAAGAATGGATCAACACTGTTAGTTGAGTACCCACATCACAAACGTGATTCTCAGAATGCTTCTGTCTAGTTTCTGTAGGTAGATATTTCCTATTTTAAGCATAGGCCTGAAAGCGCTCCAAATGCCCGCTTCCAGACACTATAAAAAGAGGGTTTCAAACCTACTCTATGAAAGGGAATGTTCAACTCTGAGAGCTGGATGCAAACATCACAAAGAAGTTTCTGAGAATGCTGCTGTCTACTTTTTATATATAATCCCGTTTCCAACGAAATCCTCAAATCTCTCCAAATATCCACTTGCAGATTCCAAAAGAAGAGTGTCTCAAAACTGCTCTATCAATAGAAATGTTCAGCACAGTTAGTTGAGTAGATACAGCATAAACATGTTTCTGAGATTACTTCTATCTCGCATTCATGGGAAGATATTTCCTTTTTCCAGATAGGCTACAAAGCCCTCCAAATGTCCACTTCCAGATACTACAAAAAGAGTGTTTCCAACCTGCTCTATGAAACGGAAGGTTCAACTCTGTGACTTGATTGCAAACATCACGAAGGTGTTTCTGAGAATGCTTCTGTCTAGATTTTCTTTGAAGACATTACCGTTTCCAACGAAATCCTCAAAGCTAGCCAAATATCCACCTGCAGATTCTACAAAAAGAGTGTTTCAAAAGTGCTCTCTCCAAACCAAGGTTCAATTCTGACAGTTGAGTGCACACATCACAAACGTGATTCTGCGAATGCTTCTGTCTAGTTTTTGTCGGAAGATATTTCCTTTTTCAGCATAGGCCCCAAGGAGCTCAAAATGTCCACTGCCAGATAGTACGAGAAGATTGTTTCAAACCTGCTCTGTGAAAGGGAATGTTCAACTCTGTGACTTGAATGTAAACATCCCTAAGATGTTTCTTAGAATGCTTCTGGCTAGATTTGATTTGAAGATATTCCCGTTTCCAACGAAATCCTCAAAGCTTTCCAAATATCCACTTCCAGATTCTATAAAAAGAATGTTTCAGAACAGTTCTGTCAAAAGAAAGGTTCAACTCTGTTAGTGGAGAACACACATCACAATCAAGGTTCTGAGAATGCTTCTGTCTAAATTTTCTATGAAGACATTCCCGTTTCCAACGAAATCCTCACAGCTATCCAAATATCCACTTGCAGATTCTACAAAAAGTGTGGTTCAAAACTGCTGTATCAAAAGAATGGATCAACACTGTTAGTTGAGTACTCACATCACAAACGTGATTCTCAGAATGCTTCTGTCTAGTTTCTATAGGTAGATATTTCCTTTTTCAGCATAGGCCTGAAAGCGCTCCAAATGCCCGCTTCCAGACACTATAAAAAGAGGGTTTCAAACCTACTCTATGAAAGGGAATGTTCAACTCTGAGAGCTGGATGCAAACATCACAAAGAAGTTTCTGAGAATGCTGCTGTCTACTTTTTATATATAATCCCGTTTCCAACGAAATCCTCAAATCTATCCAAATATCCACTTGCAGATTCCAAAAGAAGAGTGTCTCAAAACTGCTCTATCAATAGAAATGTTCAGCACAGTTAGTTGAGAAGATACAGCATAAACATGTTTCTGAGATTACTTCTATCTCGCATTCATGGGAAGATATTTCCTTTTTCCAGATAGGCTACAAAGCCCTCCAAATGTCCACTTCGAGATACTACAAATAGAGTGCTGCACAACTGCTCTATGTGAGGGGAAGTTCAATTCTGTGACTTGAATGCAGACACCACAAAGAAGTTTCTGAGAATGCTGCTGTCTAATTTTTACATGTAAGCCCGTTTCCAACGAAATCCTCAAAGCTATCCAAATATCCGCATGCAGAATCTTCAAAAAGAGTGTTCCAGAAGTACTGCATGAAACGAAAGGTTCAAGTCCGTTTGTTGAGGACACACATCACAAATAAGTTTCTCAGAATGCTTCTGTCTTGTTTTCATTGGAAGATATTTCCTTTTTCACCATAGTTCAGAAAGCGCTCCAAATGTCCACTTCCAGATACTCCAAAAAGAGTGTTTCCAACCTGCTCTATGAATGGGAATGTTCCACTCTGTGACTTGAATGGAAATATGGCAAAGTATTTTCTGAGTATGCTGCTGTGTACGTTTTATATTGCATCCCGTTTCCAACGAAATCCTCAAAGCGATCCAAATATCCACTTGCAGATTCCAAAAAAAGAGTGTTTCAAACTGCTCTGTCAGTACAAAGGTTCAACACTGTTAGTTGATTAGATGCATCATAAACAAGTTCCTGAGATAGCTTCTATGTCGTTTTTATGGGAAGATATTTCCTTTTTCACCATAGGCCTGAAAGCGCTCCAAATGTCCACTTCCAGATACTACAATAAGAGTGTTTCCAACCTGCTCTATGAAACGGAAGGTTCAACTCTGTGACTTGATTGCAAACATCACGAAGGTGTTTCTGAGAATGCTTCTGTCTAGATTTTCTTTGAAGACATTCCCGTTTCCAACGAAATCCTCACAGCTATCCAAATATCCTCTTGCAGATTCTACAAAAAGTGTGGTTCAAAACTGCTGTATCAAAAGAATGGATCAACACTGTTAGTTGAGTACCCACATCACAAACGTGATTCTCAGAATGCTTCTGTCTAGTTTCTGTAGGTAGATATTTCCTATTTTAAGCATAGGCCTGAAAGCGCTCCAAATGCCCGCTTCCAGACACTATAAAAAGAGGGTTTCAAACCTACTCTATGAAAGGGAATGTTCAACTCTGAGAGCTGGATGCAAACATCACAAAGAAGTTTCTGAGAATGCTGCTGTCTACTTTTTATATATAATCCCGTTTCCAACGAAATCCTCAAATCTATCCAAATATCCACTTGCAGATTCCAAAAGAAGAGTGTCTCAAAACTGCTCTATCAATAGAAATGTTCAGCACAGTTAGTTGAGTAGATACAGCATAAACATGTTTCTGAGATTACTTCTATCTCGCATTCATGGGAAGATATTTCCTTTTTCCAGATAGGCTACAAAGCCCTCCAAATGTCCACTTCCAGATACTACAAAAAGAGTGTTTCCAACCTGCTCTATGAAACGGAAGGTTCAAGTCTGTGACTTGATTGCAAACATCACGAAGGTGTTTCTGAGAATGCTTCTGTCTAGATTTTCTTTGAAGACATTACCGTTTCCAACGAAATCCTCAAAGCTAGCCAAATATCCACCTGCAGATTCTACAAAAAGAGTGTTTCAAAAGTGCTCTGTCCAAACCAAGGTTCAATTCTGACAGTTGAGTGCACACATCACAAACGTGATTCTGCGAATGCTTCTGTCTAGTTTTTGTCGGAAGATATTTCCTTTTTCAGCATAGGCCCCAAGGAGCTCAAAATGTCCACTTCCAGATAGTACGAGAAGATTGTTTCAAACCTGCTCTGTGAAAGGGAATGTTCAACTCTGTGACTTGAATGTAAACATCCCTAAGTTGTTTCTTAGAATGCTTCTGGCTAGATTTGATTTGAAGATATTCCCGTTTCCAACGAAATCCTCAAAGCTTTCCAAATATCCACTTCCAGATTCTATAAAAAGAATGTTTCAGAACAGTTCTGTCAAAAGAAAGGTTCAACTCTGTTAGTGGAGAACACACATCACAATCAAGGTTCTGAGAATGCTTCTGTCTAAATTTTCTATGAAGACATTCCCGTTTCCAACGAAATCCTCACAGCTATCCAAATATCCACTTGCAGATTCTACAAAAAGGGTGGTTCAAAACTGCTGTATCAAAAGAATGGATCAACACTGTTAGTTGAGTACCCACATCACAAACGAGATTCTCAGAATGCTTCTGTCTAGTTTCTATAGGTAGATATTTCCTTTTTCAGCATAGGCCTGAAAGCGCTCCAAATGCCCGCTTCCAGACACTACAAAAAGGGGGTTTCAAACCTACTCTATGAAAGGGAATATTCAACTCTGAGAGCTGGATGCAAACATCACAAAGAAGTTTCTGAGAATGCTGCTGTCTACTTTTTATATATAATCCCGTTTCCAACGAAATCCTCAAATCTAGCCAAATATCCACTTGCAGATTCCAAAAGAAGAGTGTCTCAAAACTGCTCTATCAATAGAAATGTTCAGCACAGTTAGTTGAGTAGATACAGCATAAACATGTTTCTGAGATTACTTCTATCTCGCATTCATGGGAAGATATTTCCTTTTTCTACATAGATAGGCTACAAAGCCCTCCAAATGTCCACTTCGAGATACTACAAATAGAGTGCTGCACAACTGCTCTATGTGAGGGGATGTTCAATTCTGTGACTTGAGTGCAGACACCACAAAGAAGTTTCTGAGAATGCTGCTGTCTAATTTTTATATGTAAGCCCGTTTCCAACGAAATCCTCAAAGCTATCCAAATATCCGCATGCAGAATCTTCAACAAGAGTGTTCCAGAAGTACTGCATGAAACGAAAGGTTCGAGTCCGTTAGTTGAGGACACGCATCACAAATAAGTTTCTCAGAATGCTTCTGTCTTGTTTTCATTGGAAGATATTTCCTTTTTCACCATAGTTCAGAAAGCGCTCCAAATGTCCACTTCCAGATACTCCAAAAAGAGTGTTTCAAACCTGCTCTATGAATGGGAATGTTCCACTCTGTGACTTGAATGGAAATATGGCAAAGTATTTTCTGAGTATGCTGCTGTGTACGTTTTATATTGCATCCCGTTTCCAACGAAATCCTCAAAGCGATCCAAATATCCACTTGCAGATTCCAAAAAAAGAGTGTTTCAAACTGCTCTGTCAGTACAAAGGTTCAACACTGTTAGTTGATTAGATGCATCATAAACAAGTTCCTGATATAGATTCTATGTCGTTTTTATGGGAAGATATTTCCTTTTTCACCATAGGCCTGAAAGCGCTCCAAATGTCCACTTCCAGATACTACAATAAGAGTGTTTCCAACCTGCTCTATGAAACGGAAGGTTCAACTCTGTGACTTGATTGCAAACATCACGAAAGGTGTTTCTGAGAATGCTTCTGTCTAGATTTTCTTTGAAGACATTACCGTTTCCAACGAAATCCTCAAAGCTAGCCAAATATCCACCTGCGGATTCTACAAAAAGAGTGTTTCAACAGTGCTCTGTCCAAACCAAGGTTCAATTCTGACAGTTGAGTGCACACATCACAAACGTGATTCTGCGAATGCTTCTGTCTAGTTTTTGTCGGAAGATATTTCCTTTTTCAGCATAGGCCCCAAGGAGCTCAAAATGTCCACTTCCAGATAGTACGAGAAGATTGTTTCAAACCTGCTCTGTGAAAGGGAATGTTCAACCCTGTGACTTGAATGTAAACATCCCTAAGATGTTTCTTAGAATGCTTCTGGCTAGATTTGATTTGAAGATATTCCCGTTTCCAACGAAATCCTCAAAGCTTTCCAAATATCCACTTCCAGATTCTATAAAAAGAATGTTTCAGAACAGTTCTGTCAAAAGAAAGGTTCAACTCTGTTAGTGGAGAACACACATCACAATCAAGGTTCTGAGAATGCTTCTGTCTAAATTTTCTATGAAGACATTCCCGTTTCCAACGAAATTCTCACAGCTATCCAAATATCCACTTGCAGATTCTACAAAAAGTGTGGTTCAAAACTGCTGTATCAAAAGAATGGATCAACACTGTTAGTTGAGTACCCACATCACAAACGTGATTCTCAGAATGCTTCTGTCTAGTTTCTATAGGTAGATATTTCCTTTTTCAGCATAGGCCTGAAAGCGCTCCAAATGCCCGCTTCCAGACACTATAAAAAGAGGGTTTCAAACCTACTCTATGAAAGGGAATGTTCAACTCTGAGAGCTGGATGCAAACATCACAAAGAAGTTTCTGAGAATGCTGCTGTCTACTTTTTATATATAATCCCGTTTCCAACGAAATCCTCAAATCTATCCAAATATCCACTTGCAGATTCCAAAAGAAGAGTGTCTCAAAACTGCTCTATCAATAGAAATGTTCAGCACAGTTAGTTGAGTAGATACAGCATAAACATCTTTCTGAGATTACTTCTATCTCGCATTCATGGGAAGATATTTCCTTTTTCCAGATAGGCTACAAAGCCCTCCAAATGTCCACTTCCAGATACTACAAATAGAGTGCTGCACAACTGCTCTATGTGAGGGGAAGTTCAATTCTGTGACTTGAATGCAGACACCACAAAGAAGTTTCTGAGAATGCTGCTGTCTAATTTTTACATGTAAGCCCGTTTCCAACGAAATCCTCAAAGCTATCCAAATATCCGCATGCAGAATCTTCAAAAAGAGTGTTCCAGAAGTACTGCATGAAATGAAAGGTTCAAGTCCGTTTGTTGAGGACACACATCACAAATAAGTTTCTCAGAATGCTTCTGTCTTGTTTTCATTGGAAGATATTTCCTTTTTCACCATAGTTCAGAAAGCGCTCCAAATGTCCACTTCCAGATACTCCAAAAAGAGTGTTTCCAACCTGCTCTATGAATGGGAATGTTCCACTCTGTGACTTGAATGGAAATATGGCAAAGTATTTTCTGAGTATGCTGCTGTGTACGTTTTATATTGCATCCCGTTTCCAACGAAATCCTCAAAGCGATCCAAATATCCACTTGCAGATTCCAAAAAAAGAGTGTTTCAAACTGCTCTGTCAGTACAAAGGTTCAACACTTTTAGTTTGATTAGATGCATCATAAACAAGTTCCTGAGATAGCTTCTATCTCGCATTCATGGGAAGATATTTCCTTTTTCCAGATAGGCTACAAAGCCCTCCAAATGTCCACTTCCAGATACTACAAAAAGAGTGTTTCCAACCTGCTCTATGAAACGGAAGGTTCAACTCCTGTGACTTGATTGCAAACATCACGAAGGTGTTTCTGAGAATGCTTCTGTCTAGATTTTCTTTGAAGACATTACCGTTTCCAACGAAATCCTCAAAGCTAGCCAAATATCCACCTGCAGATTCTACAAAAAGAGTGTTTCAAAAGTGCTCTGTCCAAACCAAGGTTCAATTCTGACAGTTGAGTGCACACATCACAAACGTGATTCTGCGAATGCTTCTGTCTAGTTTTTGTCGGAAGATATTTCCTTTTTCAGCATAGGCCCCAAGGAGCTCAAAATGTCCACTGCCAGATAGTACGAGAAGATTGTTTCAAACCTGCTCTGTGAAAGGGAATGTTCAACTCTGTGACTTGCATGTAAACATCCCTAAGATGTTTCTTAGAATGCTACTGGCTAGATTTTATTTGAAGATATTCCCGTTTCCAACGAAATCCTCAAAGCTTTCCAAATATCCACTTCCAGATTCTATAAAAAGAATGTTTCAGAACAGTTCTGTCAAAAGAAAGGTTCAACTCTGTTAGTGGAGAACACACATCACAATCAAGGTTCTGAGAATGCTTCTGTCTAAATTTTCTATGAAGACATTCCCGTTTCCAACGAAATCCTCACAGCTATCCAAATATCCACTTGCAGATTCTACAAAAAGTGTGGTTCAAAACTGCTGTATCAAAAGAATGGATCAACACTGTTAGTTGAGTACCCACATCACAAACGTGATTCTCAGAATGCTTCTGTCTAGTTTCTATAGGTAGATATTTCCTTTTTCAGCATAGGCCTGAAAGCGCTCCAAATGCCCGCTTCCAGACACTATAAAAAGAGGGTTTCAAACCTACTCTATGAAAGGGAATGTTCAACTCTGAGAGCTGGATGCAAACATCACAAAGAAGTTTCTGAGAATGCTGCTGTCTACTTTTTATATATAATCCCGTTTCCAACGAAATCCTCAAATCTATCCAAATATCCACTTGCAGATTCCAAAAGAAGAGTGTCTCAAAACTGCTCTATCAATAGAAATGTTCAGCACAGTTAGTTGAGTAGATACAGCATAAACATGTTTCTGAGATTACTTCTATCTCGCATTCATGGGAAGATATTTCCTTTTTCCAGATAGGCTACAAAGCCCTCCAAATGTCCACTTCCAGATACTACAAATAGAGTGCTGCACAACTGCTCTATGTGAGGGGATGTTCAATTCTGTGACTTAAATGCAGACACCACAAAGAAGTCTCTGAGAATGCTGCTGTCTAATTTTTACATGTAAGCCCGTTTCCAACGAAATCCTCAAAGCTATCCAAA
Source organism: Homo sapiens (assembly GCF_000001405.40). Lineage (NCBI taxonomy): Eukaryota > Metazoa > Chordata > Mammalia > Primates > Hominidae > Homo > Homo sapiens. Next base: position 45,474,896 of record NC_000008.11, on the reverse strand, counting down.
TATCCGCATGCAGAATCTTCAAAAAGAGTGTTCCAGAAGTACTGCATGAAACGAAAGGTTCAAGTCCGTTTGTTGAGGACACACATCACAAATAAGTTTCTCAGAATGCTTCTGTCTTGTTTTCATTGGAAGATATTTCCTTTTTCACCATAGTTCAGAAAGCGCTCCAAATGTCCACTTCCAGATACTCCAAAAAGAGTGTTTCAAACCTGCTCTATGAATGGGAATGTTCCACTCTGTGACTTGAATGGAAATATGGCAAAGTATTTTCTGAGTATGCTGCTGTGTACGTTTTATATTGCATCCCGTTTCCAACGAAATCCTCAAAGCGATCCAAATATCCACTTGCAGATTCCAAAAAAGAGTGTTTCAAGCTGCTCTGTCAGTACAAAGGTTCAACACTGTTAGTTGATTAGATGCATCATAAACAAGTTCCTGAGATAGCTTCTATGTCGTTTTTATGGGAAGATATTTCCTTTTTCACCATAGGCCTGAAAGCGCTCCAAATGTCCACTTCCAGATACTACAATAAGAGTGTTTCCAACCTGCTCTATGAAACGGAAGGTTCAACTCTGTGACTTGATTGCAAACATCACGAAGGTGTTTCTGAGAATGCTTCTGTCTAGATTTTCTTTGAAGACATTCCCGTTTCCAACGAAATCCTCACAGCTATCCAAATATCCTCTTGCAGATTCTACAAAAAGTGTGGTTCAAAACTGCTGTATCAAAAGAATGGATCAACTCTGTTAGTTGAGTACCCACATCACAAACGTGATTCTCAGAATGCTTCTGTCTAGTTTCTGTAGGTAGATATTTCCTATTTTAAGCATAGGCCTGAAAGCGCTCCAAATGCCCGCTTCCAGACACTATAAAAAGAGGGTTTCAAACCTACTCTATGAAAGGGAATGCTCAACTCTGAGAGCTGGATGCAAACATCACAAAGAAGTTTCTGAGAATGCTGCTGTCTACTTTTTATATATAATCCCGTTTCCAACGAAATCCTCAAATCTATGCAAATATCCACTTGCAGATTCCAAAAGAAGAGTGTCTCAAAACTGCTCTATCAATAGAAATGTTCAGCACAGTTAGTTGAGTAGATACAGCATAAACATGTTTCTGAGATTACTTCTATCTCGCATTCATGGGAAGATATTTCCTTTTTCCAGATAGGCTACAAAGCCCTCCAAATGTCCACTTCCAGATACTACAAAAAGAGTGTTTCCAACCTGCTCTATGAAACGGAAGGTTCAACTCTGTGACTTGATTGCAAACATCACGAAGCTGTTTCTGAGAATGCTTCTGTCTAGATTTTCTTTGAAGACATTACCGTTTCCAACGAAATCCTCAAAGCTAGCCAAATATCCACCTGCAGATTCTACAAAAAGAGTGTTTCAAAAGTGCTCTGTCCAAACCAAGGTTCAATTCTGACAGTTGAGTGCACACATCACAAACGTGATTCTGCGAATGCTTCTGTCTAGTTTTTGTCGGAAGATATTTCCTTTTTCAGCATAGGCCCCAAGGAGCTCAAAATGTCCACTGCCAGATAGTACGAGAAGATTGTTTCAAACCTGCTCTGTGAAAGGGAATGTTCAACTCTGTGACTTGAATGTAAACATCCCTAAGATGTTTCTTAGAATGCTCTGGCTAGATTTTATTTGAAGATATTCCCGGTTTCCAACGAAATCCTCAAAGCTTTCCAAATATCCACTTCCAGATTCTATAAAAAGAATGTTTCAAAACAGTTCTGTCAAAAGAAAGGTTCAACTCTGTTAGTGGAGAACACACATCACAATCAAGGTTCTGAGAATGCTTTCTGTCTACATTTTCTATGAAGACATTCCCGTTTCCAACGAAATCCTCACAGCTATCCAAATATCCACTTGCAGATTCTACAAAAAGTGTGGTTCAAAACTGCTGTATCAAAAGAATGGATCAACACTGTTAGTTGAGTACCCACATCACAAACGTGATTCTCAGAATGCTTCTGTCTAGTTTCTATAGGTAGATATTTCCTTTTTCAGCATAGGCCTGAAAGCGCTCCAAATGCCCGCTTCCAGACACTATAAAAAGAGGGTTTCAAACCTACTCTATGAAAGGGAATGTTCAACTCTGAGAGCTGGATGCAAACATCACAAAGAAGTTTCTGAGAATGCTGCTGTCTACTTTTTATATATAATCCCGTTTCCAACGAAATCCTCAAATCTATCCAAATATCCACTTGCAGATTCCTAAAGAAGAGTGTCTCAAAACTGCTCTATCAATAGAAATGTTCAGCACAGTTAGTTGAGTAGATACAGCATAAACATGTTTCTGAGATTACTTCTATCTGGCTTTCATGGGAAGATATTTCCTTTTTCCAGATAGGCTACAAAGCCCTCCAAATGTCCACTTCGAGATACTACAAATAGAGTGCTGCACAACTGCTCTATGTGAGGGGATGTTCAATTCTGTGACTTGAATGCAGACACCACAAAGAAGTTTCTGAGAATGCTGCTGTCTAATTTTTACATGTAAGCCCGTTTCCAACGAAATCCTCAAAGCTATCCAAATATCCGCATGCAGAATCTTCAAAAAGAGTGTTCCAGAAGTACTGCATGAAACGAAAGGTTCAAGTCCGTTTGTTGAGGACACACATCACAAATAAGTTTCTCAGAATGCTTCTGTCTTGTTTTCATTGGAAGATATTTCCTTTTTCACCATAGTTCAGAAAGCGCTCCAAATGTCCACTTCCAGATACTCCAAAAAGAGTGTTTCAAACCTGCTCTATGAATGGGAATGTTCCACTCTGTGACTTGAATGGAAATATGGCAAAGTATTTTCTGAGTATGCTGCTGTGTACGTTTTATATTGCATCCCGTTTCCAACGAAATCCTCAAAGCGATCCAAATATCCACTTGCAGATTCCAAAAAAAGAGTGTTTCAAACTGCTCTGTCAGTACAAAGGTTCAACACTGTTAGTTGATTAGATGCATCATAAACAAGTTCCTGAGATAGCTTCTATGTCGTTTTTATGGGAAGATATTTCCTTTTTCACCATAGGCCTGAAAGCGCTCCAAATGTCCACTTCCAGATACTACAATAAGAGTGTTTCCAACCTGCTCTATGAAACGGAAGGTTCAACTCTGTGACTTGATTGCAAACATCACGAAGGTGTTTCTGAGAATGCTTCTGTCTAGATTTTCTTTGAAGACATTCCCGTTTCCAACGAAATCCTCACAGCTATCCAAATATCCTCTTGCAGATTCTACAAAAAGTGTGGTTCAAAACTGCTGTATCAAAAGAATGGATCAACACTGTTAGTTGAGTACCCACATCACAAACGTGATTCTCAGAATGCTTCTGTCTAGTTTCTGTAGGTAGATATTTCCTATTTTAAGCATAGGCCTGAAAGCGCTCCAAATGCCCGCTTCCAGACACTATAAAAAGAGGGTTTCAAACCTACTCTATGAAAGGGAATGTTCAACTCTGAGAGCTGGATGCAAACATCACAAAGAAGTTTCTGAGAATGCTGCTGTCTACTTTTTATATATAATCCCGTTTCCAACGAAATCCTCAAATCTATCCAAATATCCACTTGCAGATTCCAAAAGAAGAGTGTCTCAAAACTGCTCTATCAATAGAAATGTTCAGCACAGTTAGTTGAGTAGATACAGCATAAACATGTTTCTGAGATTACTCTATCTCGCATTCATGGGAAGATATTTCCTTTTTCCAGATAGGCTACAAAGCCCTCCAAATGTCCACTTCCAGATACTACAAATAGAGTGCTGCACAACTGCTCTATGTGAGGGGAAGTTCAATTCTGTGACTTGAATGCAGACACCACAAAGAAGTTTCTGAGAATGCTGGCTGTCTAATTTTTACATGTAAGACCGTTTCCAACGAAATCCTCAAAGCTATCCAAATATCCGCATGCAGAATCTTCAAAAAGAGTGTTCCAGAAGTACTGCATGAAACGAAAGGTTCAAGTCCGTTTGTTGAGGACACACATCACAAATAAGTTTCTCAGAATGCTTCTGTGTTGTTTTCATTGGAAGATATTTCCTTTTTCACCATAGTTCAGAAAGCGCTCCAAATGTCCACTTCCAGATACTCCAAAAAGAGTGTTTCCAACCTGCTCTATGAATGGGAATGTTCCACTCTGTGACTTGAATGGAAATATGGCAAAGTATTTTCTGAGTATGCTGCTGTGTACGTTTTATATTGCATCCCGTTTCCAACGAAATCCTCAAAGCGATCCAAATATCCACTTGCAGATTCCAAAAAAAGAGTGTTTCAAACTGCTCTGTCAGTACAAAGGTTCAACACTGTTAGTTGATTAGATGCATCATAAACAAGTTCCTGAGATAGCTTCTATGTCGTTTTTATGGGAAGATATTTCCTTTTTCACCATAGGCCTGAAAGCGCTCCAAATGTCCACTTCCAGATACTACAATAAGAGTGTTTCCAACCTGCTCTATGAAACGGAAGGTTCAACTCTGTGACTTGATTGCAAACATCACGAAGGTGTTTCTGAGAATGCTTCTGTCTAGATTTTCTTTGAAGACATTCCCGTTTCCAACGAAATCCTCACAGCTCTCCAAATATCCACTTGCAGATTCTACAAAAAGTGTGGTTCAAAACTGCTGTATGAAAAGAATGGATCAACACTGTTAGTTGAGTACCCACATCACAAACGTGATTCTCAGAATGCTTCTGTCTAGTTTCTGTAGGTAGATATTTCCTATTTTAAGCATAGGCCTGAAAGCGCTCCAAATGCCCGCTTCCAGACACTATAAAAAGAGGGTTTCAAACCTACTCTATGAAAGGGAATGCTCAACTCTGAGAGCTGGATGCAAACATCACAAAGAAGTTTCTGAGAATGCTGCTGTCTACTTTTTATATATAATCCCGTTTCCAACGAAATCCTCAAATCTATCCAAATATCCACTTGCAGATTCCAAAAGAAGAGTGTCTCAAAACTGCTCTATCAATAGAAATGTTCAGCACAGTTAGTTGAGTAGATACAGCATAAACATGTTTCTGAGATTACTTCTATCTCGCATTCATGGGAAGATATTTCCTTTTTCCAGATAGGCTACAAAGCCCTCCAAATGTCCACTTCCAGATACTACAAATAGAGTGCTGCACAACTGCTCTATGTGAGGGGAAGTTCAATTCTGTGACTTGAATGCAGACACCACAAAGAAGTTTCTGAGAATGCTGCTGTCTAATTTTTACATGTAAGCCCGTTTCCAACGAAATCCTCAAAGCTATCCAAATATCCGCATGCAGAATCTTCAAAAAGAGTGTTCCAGAAGTACTGCATGAAACGAAAGGTTCAAGTCCGTTTGTTGAGGACACACATCACAAATAAGTTTCTCAGAATGCTTCTGTCTTGTTTTCATTGGAAGATATTTCCTCTTTCACCATAGTTCAGAAAGCGCTCCAAATGTCCACTTCCAGATACTACAAAAGGAGTGTTTCCAACCTGCTCTATGAATGGGAATGTTCCACTCTGTGACTTGAATGGAAATATGGCAAAGTATTTTCCTGAGTATGCTGCTGTGTACGTTTTATATTGCATACCGTTTCCAACGAAATCCTCAAAGCGATCCAAATATCCACTTGCAGATTCCAAAAAAAGAGTGTTTCAAACTGCTCTGTCAGTACAAAGGTTCAACACTGTTAGTTGATTAGATGCATCATAAACAAGTTCCTGAGATAGCTTCTATGTCGTTTTTATGGGAAGATATTTCCTTTTTCACCATAGGCCTGAAAGCGCTCCAAATGTCCACTTCCAGATATTACAAAAAGAGTGTTTCCAACCTGCTCTATGAAACGGAAGGTTCAACTCTGTGACTTGATTGCAAACATCACGAAGGTGTTTCTGAGAATGCTTCTGTCTAGATTTTCTTTGAAGACATTACCGTTTCCAACGAAATCCTCAAAGCTAGCCAAATATCCACCTGCAGATTCTACAAAAAGAGTGTTTCAAAAGTGCTCTGTCCAAACCAAGGTTCAATTCTGACAGTTGAGTGCACACATCACAAACGTGATTCTGCGAATGCTTCTGTCTAGTTTTTGTCGGAAGATATTTCCTTTTTCAGCATAGGCCCCAAGGAGCTCAAAATGTCCACTGCCAGATAGTACGAGAAGATTGTTTCAAACCTGCTCTGTGAAAGGGAATGTTCAACTCTGTGACTTGAATGTAAACATCCCTAAGATGTTTCTTAGAATGCTTCTGGCTAGATTTTATTTGAAGATATTCCCGTTTCCAACGAAATCCTAAAAGCTTTCCAAATATCCACTTCCAGATTCTATAAAAAGAATGTTTCAAAACAGTTCTGTCCAAAGAAAGGTTCAACTCTGTTAGTGGAGAACACACATCACAATCCAGGTTCTGAGAATGCTTCTGTCTAAATTTTCTATGAAGACATTCCCGTTTCCAACGAAATCCTCACAGCTATCCAAATATCCACTTGCAGACTCTTCAAAAAGGGTGGTTCAAAACTGCTGTATCAAAAGAATGGATCAACACTGTTAGTTGAGTACCCACATCACAAACGTGATTCTCAGAATGCTTCTGTCTAGTTTCTGTAGGTAGATATTTCCTTTTTCAGCATAGGCCTGAAAGCATTCCAAATGCCCGCTTCCAGACACTATAAAAAGGGGGTTTCAAACCTACTCTGTGAAAGGGAATGTTCAACTCTGAGAGCTGGATGCAAACATCACAAAGAAGTTTCTGAGAATGCTGCTGTCTACTTTTGATATATAATCCCGTTTCCAACGAAATCCTCAAATCTATCCAAATATCCACTTGCAGATTCCAAAAGAAGAGTGTCTCAAAACTGCTCTATCAATAGAAATGTTCAGCACAGTTAGTTGAGTAGATACAGCATAAACATGTTTCTGAGATTACTTCTATCTCGCATTCATGGGAAGATATTTCCTTTTTCCAGATAGGCTACAAAGCCCTCCAAATGTCCACTTCGAGATACTACAAATAGAGTGCTGCACAACTGCTCTATGTGAGGGGATGTTCAATTCTGTGACTTGAATGCAGACACCACAAAGAAGTTTCTGAGAATGCTGCTGTCTAATTTTTATATGTAAGCCCGTTTCCAACGAAATCCTCAAAGCTATCCAAATATCCGCATGCAGAATCTTCAAAAAGAGTGTTCCAGAAGTACTGCATGAAACGAAAGGTTCAAGTCCGTTAGTTGAGGACACACATCACAAATAAGTTTCTCAGAATGCTTCTGTCTTGTTTTCATTGGAAGATATTTCCTTTTTCACCATAGTTCAGAAAGCGCTCCAAATGTCCACTTCGAGATACTACAAAAGGAGTGCTTCCAACCTGCTCTATGAATGGGAATGTTCCTCTCTGTGACTTGAATGGAAATATGGCAAAGTATTTTCTGAGTATGCTGCTGTGTACGTTTTATATTGCATCCCGTTTCCAACGAAATCCTCAAAGCGATCCAAATATCCACTTGCAGATTCCAAAAAAAGAGTGTTTCAAACTGCTCTGTCAGTACAAAGTTCAACACTGTTAGTTGATTAGATGCATCATAAACAAGTTCCTGAGATAGCTTCTATGTCGCTTTTATGGGAAGATATTTCCTTTTACACCATAGGCCTGAAAGCGCTCCAAATGTCCACTTCCAGATACTACAAAATGAGTGTTTCCAACCTGCTCTATGAAACGGAAGGTTCAACTCTGTGACTTGATTGCAAACATCACGAAGGTGTTTCTGAGGATGTTTCTGTCTAGATTTTCTTTGAAGACATTACCGTTTCCAACGAAATCCTCAAAGCTAGCCAAATATCCACCTGCAGATTCTACAAAAAGAGTGTTTCAAAAGTGCTCTGTCCAAACCAAGGTTCAATTCTGACAGTTGAGTGCACACATCACAAACGTGATTCTGCGAATGCTTCTGTCTAGTTTTTGTCGGAAGATATTTCCTTTATCAGCATAGGCCCCAAGGAGCTCAAAATGTCCACTGCCAGATAGTACGAGAAGATTGTTTCAAACCTGCTCTGAGAAAGGGGAATGTTCAACTCTGTGACTTGAATGTAAACATCCCTAAGATGTTTCTTAGAATGCTTCTGGCTAGATTTGATTTGAAGATATTCCCGTTTCCAACGAAATCCTCAAAGCTTTCCAAATATCCACTTCCAGATTCTATAAAAAGAATGTTTCAGAACAGTTCTGTCAAAAGAAAGGTTCAACTCTGTTAGTGGAGAACACACATCACAATCAAGGTTCTGAGAATGCTTCTGTCTAAATTTTCTATGAAGACATTCAAGTTTCCAACGAAATCCTCACAGCTATCCAAATATCCACTTGCAGATTCTACAAAAAGTGTGGTTCAAAACTGCTGTATCAAAAGAATGGATCAACACTGTTAGTTGAGTACCCACATCACAAACGTGATTCTCAGAATGCTTCTGTCTAGTTTCTATAGGTAGATATTTCCTTTTTCAGCATAGGCCTGAAAGCGCTCCAAATGCCCGCTTCCAGACACTATAAAAAGAGGGTTTCAAACCTACTCTATGAAAGGGAATGTTCAACTCTGAGAGCTGGATGCAAACATCACAAAGAAGTTTCTGAGAATGCTGCTGTCTACTTTTGATATATAATCCCGTTTCCAACGAAATCCTCAAATCTATCCAAATATCCACTTGCAGATTCCAAAAGAAGAGTGTCTCAAAACTGCTCTATCAATAGAAATGTTCAGCACAGTTAGTTGAGTACATACAGCATAAACATGTTTCTGAGATTACTTCTATCTCGCATTCATGGGAAGATATTTCCTTTTTCCAGATAGGCTACAAAGCCCTCCAAATGTCCACTTCCAGATACTACAAATAGAGTGCTGCACAACTGCTCTATGTGAGGGGATGTTCAATTCTGTGACTTGAATGCAGACACCACAAAGAAGTTTCTGAGAATGCTGCTGTCTAATTTTTACATGTAAGCCCGTTTCCAACGAAATCCTCAAAGCTATCCAAATATCCGCATGCAGAATCTTCAAAAAGAGTGTTCCAGAAGTACTGCATGAAACGAAAGGTTCAAGTCCGTTTGTTGAGGACACACATCACAAATAAGTTTCTCAGAATGCTTCTGTCTTGTTTTCATTGGAAGATATTTCCTTTTTCACCATAGTTCAGAAAGCGCTCCAAATGTCCACTTCCAGATACTCCAAAAAGAGTGTTTCCAACCTGCTCTATGAATGGGAATGTTCCACTCTGTGACTTGAATGGAAATATGGCAAAGTATTTTCTGAGTATGCTGCTGTGTACGTTTTATATTGCATCCCGTTTCCAACGAAATCCTCAAAGCGATCCAAATATCCACTTGCAGATTCCAAAAAAAGAGTGTTTCAAACTGCTCTGTCAGTACAAAGGTTCAACACTGTTAGTTGATTAGATGCATCATAAACAAGTTCCTGAGATAGCTTCTATGTCGTTTTTATGGGAAGATATTTCCTTTTTCACCATAGGCCTGAAAGCGCTCCAAATGTCCACTTCCAGATACTACAAAAAGAGTGTTTCCAACCTGCTCTATGAAACGGAAGGTTCAACTCTGTGACTTGATTGCAAACATCACGAAGGTGTTTCTGAGAATGCTTCTGTCTAGATTTTCTTTGAAGACATTCCCGTTTCCAACGAAATCCTCACAGCTATCCAAATATCCTCTTGCAGATTCTACAAAAAGTGTGGTTCAAAACTGCTGTATCAAAAGAATGGATCAACACTGTTAGTTGAGTACCCACATCACAAACGTGATTCTCAGAATGCTTCTGTCTAGTTTCTGTAGGTAGATATTTCCTATTTTAAGCATAGGCCTGAAAGCGCTCCAAATGCCCGCTTGCAGACACTATAAAAAGAGGGTTTCAAACCTACTCTATGAAAGGGAATGTTCAACTCTGAGAGCTGGATGCAAACATCACAAAGAAGTTTCTGAGAATGCTGCTGTCTACTTTTTATATATAATCCCGTTTCCAACGAAATCCTCAAATCTATCCAAATATCCACTTGCAGATTCCAAAAGAAGAGTGTCTCAAAACTGCTCTATCAATAGAAATGTTCAGCACAGTTAGTTGAGTAGATACAGCATAAACATGTTTCTGAGATTACTTCTATCTCGCATTCATGGGAAGATATTTCCTTTTTCCAGATAGGCTACAAAGCCCTCCAAATGTCCACTTCCAGATACTACAAATAGAGTGCTGCACAACTGCTCTATGTGAGGGGAAGTTCAATTCTGTGACTTGAATGCAGACACCACAAAGAAGTTTCTGAGAATGCTGCTGTCTAATTTTTACATGTAAGCCCGTTTCCAACGAAATCCTCAAAGCTATCCAAATATCCGCATGCAGAATCTTCAAAAAGAGTGTTCCAGAAGTACTGCATGAAACGAAAGGTTCAAGTCCGTTTGTTGAGGACACACATCACAAATAAGTTTCTCAGAATGCTTCTGTCTTGTTTTCATTGGAAGATATTTCCTTTTTCACCATAGTTCAGAAAGCGCTCCAAATGTCCACTTCCAGATACTCCAAAAAGAGTGTTTCCAACCTGCTCTATGAATGGGAATGTTCCACTCTGTGACTTGAATGGAAATATGGCAAAGTATTTTCTGAGTATGCTGCTGTGTACGTTTTATATTGCATCCCGTTTCCAACGAAATCCTCAAAGCGATCCAAATATCCACTTGCAGATTCCAAAAAAGAGTGTTTCAAGCTGCTCTGTCAGTACAAAGGTTCAACACTGTTAGTTGATTAGATGCATCATAAACAAGTTCCTGAGATAGCTTCTATGTCGTTTTTATGGGAAGATATTTCCTTTTTCACCATAGGCCTGAAAGCGCTCCAAATGTCCACTTCCAGATACTACAATAAGAGTGTTTCCAACCTGCTCTATGAAACGGAAGGTTCAACTCTGTGACTTGATTGCAAACATCACGAAGGTGTTTCTGAGAATGCTTCTGTCTAAATTTTCTATGAAGACATTCCCGTTTCCAACTAAATCCTCACAGCTATCCAAATATCCTCTTGCAGATTCTACAAAAAGGGTGGTTCAAAACTGCAGTATCAAAAGAATGGATCAACACTGTTAGTTGAGTACCCACATCACAAACGTGATTCTCAGAACGCTTCTGTCTAGTTTCTGAAGGTAGATATTTCCTTTTTCAGCATAGGCCTGAAAGCGTTCCAAATGCCCGCTTCCAGACACTATAAAAAGGGGGTTTCAAACCTACTCTGTGAAAGGGAATGTTCAACTCTGAGAGCTGGATGCAAACATCACAAAGAAGTTTCTGAGAATGCTGCTGTCTACCTTTTATATATAATCCCGTTTCCAACGAAATCCTCAAATCTCTCCAAATATCCACTTGCGGATTCCAAAAGAAGAGTGTCTCAAAACTGCTCTATCAATAGAAATGTTCAGCACAGTTAGTTGAGTAGATACAGCATAAACATGTTTCTGAGATTACTTCTATCTCGCATTCATGGGAAGATATTTCCTTTTTCCAGATAGGCTACAAAGCCCTCCAAATGTCCACTTCGAGATACTACAAATAGAGTGCTGCACAACTGCTCTATGTGAGGGGAAGTTCAATTCTGTGACTTGAATGCAGACACCACAAAGAAGTTTCTGAGAATGCTGCTGTCTAATTTTTACATGTAAGCCCGTTTCCAACGAAATCCTCAAAGCTATCCAAATATCCGCATGCAGAATCTTCAAAAAGAGTGTTCCAGAAGTACTGCATGAAACGAAAGGTTCAAGTCCGTTTGTTGAGGACACACATCACAAATAAGTTTCTCAGAATGCTTCTGTCTTGTTTTCATTGGAAGATATTTCCTTTTTCACCATAGTTCAGAAAGCGCTCCAAATGTCCACTTCCAGATACTCCAAAAAGAGTGTTTCCAACCTGCTCTATGAATGGGAATGTTCCACTCTGTGACTTGAATGGAAATATGGCAAAGTATTTTCTGAGTATGCTGCTGTGTACGTTTTATATTGCATCCCGTTTCCAACGAAATCCTCAAAGCGATCCAAATATCCACTTGCAGATTCCAAAAAAAGAGTGTTTCAAACTGCTCTGTCAGTACAAAGGTTCAAACACTGTTAGTTGATTAGATGCATCATAAACAAGTTCCTGAGATAGCTTCTATGTCGTTTTTATGGGAAGATATTTCCTTTTTCACCATAGGCCTGAAAGCGCTCCAAATGTCCACTTCCAGATACTACAATAAGAGTGTTTCCAACCTGCTCTATGAAACGGAAGGTTCAACTCTGTGACTTGATTGCAAACATCACGAAGGTGTTTCTGAGAATGCTTCTGTCTAGATTTTCTTTGAAGACATTCCCGTTTCCAACGAAATCCTCACAGCTATCCAAATATCCTCTTGCAGATTCTACAAAAAGTGTGGTTCAAAACTGCCGTATCAAAAGAATGGATCAACATTGTTAGTTGAGTACCCACATCACAAACGTGATTCTCAGAATGCTTCTGTCTAGTTTCTGTAGGTAGATATTTCCTATTTTAAGCATAGGCCTGAAAGCGCTCCAAATGCCCGCTTCCAGACACTATAAAAAGAGGGTTTCAAACCTACTCTATGAAAGGGAATGCTCAACTCTGAGAGCTGGATGCAAACATCACAAAGAAGTTTCTGAGAATGCTGCTGTCTACTTTTTATATATAATCCCGTTTCCAACGAAATCCTCAAATCTATCCAAATATCCACTTGCAGATTCCAAAAGAAGAGTGTCTCAAAACTGCTCTATCAATAGAAATGTTCAGCACAGTTAGTTGAGTAGATACAGCATAAACATGTTTCTCAGATTACTTCTATCTCGCATTCATGGGAAGATATTTCCTTTTTCCAGATAGGCTACAAAGCCCTCCAAATGTCCACTTCCAGATACTACAAAAAGAGTGTTTCCAACCTGCTCTATGAAACGGAAGGTTCAACTCTGTGACTTGATTGCAAACATCACGAAGGTGTTTCTGAGAATGCTTCTGTCTAGATTTTCTTTGAAGACATTACCGTTTCCAACGAAATCCTCAAAGCTAGCCAAATATCCACCTGCAGATTCTACAAAAAGAGTGTTTCAAAAGTGCTCTGTCCAAACAAAGGTTCAATTCTGACAGTTGAGTGCACACATCACAAACGTGATTCTGCGAATGCTTCTGTCTAGTTTTTGTCGGAAGATATTTCCTTTTTCAGCATAGGCCCCAAGGAGCTCAAAATGTCCACTGCCAGATAGTACGAGAAGATTGTTTCAAACCTGCTCTGTGAAAGGGAATGTTCAACTCTGTGACTTGAATGTAAACATCCCTAAGATGTTTCTTAGAATGCTTCTGGCTAGATTTTATTTGAAGATATTCCCGTTTCCAACGAAATCCTCAAAGCTTTCCAAATATCCACTTCCAGATTCTATAAAAAGAATGTTTCAGAACAGTTCTGTCAAAAGAAAGGTTCAACTCTGTTAGTGGAGAACACACATCACAATCAAGGTTCTGAGAATGCTTCTGTCTAAATTTTCTATGAAGACATTCCCGTTTCCAACGAAATCCTCACAGCTATCCAAATATCCACTTGCAGATTCTACAAAAAGTGTGGTTCAAAACTGCTGTATCAAAAGAATGGATCAACACTGTTAGTTGAGTACCCACATCACAAACTTGATTCTCAGAATGCTTCTGTCTAGTTTCTAAATGTAGATATTTCCTTTTTCAGCATAGGCCTGAAAGCGCTCCAAATGCCCGCTTCCAGACACTATAAAAAGAGGGTTTCAAACCTACTCTATGAAAGGGAATGTTCAACTCTGAGAGCTGGATGCAAACATCACAAAGAAGTTTCTGAGAATGCTGCTGTCTACTTTTTATATATAATCCCGTTTCCAACGAAATCCTCAAATCTATCCAAATATCCACTTGCAGATTCCAAAAGAAGAGGGTCTCAAAACTGCTCTATCAATAGAAATGTTCAGCACAGTTAGTTGAGTAGATACAGCATAAACATGTTTCTGAGATTACTTCTATCTCGCATTCATGGGAAGATATTTCCTTTTTCCAGATAGGCTACAAAGCCCTCCAAATGTCCACTTCCAGATACTACAAATAGAGTGCTGCACAACTGCTCTATGTGAGGAGAAGTTCAATTCTGTGACTTGAATGCAGACACCACAAAGAAGTTTCTGAGAATGCTGCTGTCTAATTTTTACATGTAAGCCCGTTTCCAACGAAATCCTCAAAGCTATCCAAATATCCGCATGCAGAATCTTCAAAAAGAGTGTTCCAGAAGTACTGCATGAAACGAAAGGTTCAAGTCCGTTTGTTGAGGACACACATCACAAATAAGTTTCTCAGAATGCTTCTGTCTTGTTTTCATTGGAAGATATTTCCTTTTTCACCATAGTTCAGAAAGCGCTCCAAATGTCCACTTCCAGATACTCCAAAAAGTGTGTTTCAAACCTGCTCTATGAATGGGAATGTTCCACTCTGTGACTTGAATGGAAATATGGCAAAGTATTTTCTGAGTATGCTGCTGTGTACGTTTTATATTGCATCCCGTTTCCAACGAAATCCTCAAAGCGATCCAAATATCCACTTGCAGATTCCAAAAAAAGAGTGTTTCAAACTGCTCTGTCAGTACAAAGGTTCAACACTGTTAGTTGATTAGATGCATCATAAACAAGTTCCTGAGATAGCTCTATGTCGTTTTTATGGGAAGATATTTCCTTTTTCACCATAGGCCTGAAAGCGCTCCAAATGTCCACTTCCAGATACTACAATAAGAGTGTTTCCAACCTGCTCTATGAAACGGAAGGTTCAACTCTGTGACTTGATTGCAAACATCACGAAGGTGTTTCTGAGAATGCTTTCTGTCTAGATTTTCTTTGAAGACATTCCCGTTTCCAACGAAATCCTCACAGCTATCCAAATATCCTCTTGCAGATTCTACAAAAAGTGTGGTTCAAAACTGCTGTATCAAAAGAATGGATCAACACTGTTAGTTGAGTACCCACATCACAAACGTGATTCTCAGAATGCTTCTGTCTAGTTTCTGTAGGTAGATATTTCCTATTTTAAGCATAGGCCTGAAAGCGCTCCAAATGCCCGCTTCCAGACACTATAAAAAGAGGGTTTCAAAACTACTCTATGAAAGGGAATGCTCAACTCTGAGAGCTGGATGCAAACATCACAAAGAAGTTTCTGAGAATGCTGCTGTCTACTTTTTATATATAATCCCGTTTCCAACGAAATCCTCAAATCTATCCAAATATCCACTTGCAGATTCCAAAAGAAGAGTGTCTCAAAACTGCTCTATCAATAGAAATGTTCAGCACAGTTAGTTGAGTAGATACAGCATAAACATGTTTCTGAGATTACTTCTATCTCGCATTCATGGGAAGATATTTCCTTTTTCCAGATAGGCTACAAAGCCCTCCAAATGTCCACTTCCAGATACTACAAATAGAGTGCTGCACAACTGCTCTATGTGAGGGGAAGTTCAATTCTGTGACTTGAATGCAGACACCACAAAGAAGTTTCTGAGAATGCTGCTGTCTAATTTTTACATGTAAGCCCGTTTCCAACGAAATCCTCAAAGCTATCCAAATATCCGCATGCAGAATCTTCAAAAAGAGTGTTCCAGAAGTACTGCATGAAACGAAAGGTTCAAGTCCGTTTGTTGAGGACACACATCACAAATAAGTTTCTCAGAATGCTTCTGTCTTGTTTTCATTGGAAGATATTTCCTTTTTCACCATAGTTCAGAAAGCGCTCCAAATGTCCACTTCCAGATACTCCAAAAAGAGTGTTTCCAACCTGCTCTATGAATGGGAATGTTCCACTCTGTGACTTGAATGGAAACATGGCAAAGTATTTTCTGAGTATGCTGCTGTGTACGTTTTATATTGCCTCCCGTTTCCAACGAAATCCTCAAAGCGATCCAAATATCCACTTGCAGATTCCAAAAAAAGAGTGTTTCAAAGTGCTCTGTCAGTACAAAGGTTCAACACTGTTAGTTGATTAGATGCATCATAAACAAGTTCCTGAGATAGCTTCTATGTCGTTTTTATGGGAAGATATTTCCTTTTTCACCATAGGCCTGAAAGCGCTCCAAATGTCCACTTCCAGATACTACAATAAGAGTGTTTCCAACCTGCTCTATGAAACGGAAGGTTCAACTCTGTGACTTGATTGCAAACATCACGAAGGTGTTTCTGAGAATGCTTCTGTCTAGATTTTTTTTGAAGACATTACCGTTTCCAACGAAATCCTCAAAGCTAGCCAAATATCCACCTGCAGATTCTACAAAAAGAGTGTTTCAAAAGTGCTCTGTCCAAACAAAGATTCAATTCTGACAGTTGAGTGCACACATCACAAACGTGATTCTGCGAATGCTTCTGTCTAGTTTTTGTCGGAAGATATTTCCTTTCTCAGCATAGGCCCCAAGGAGCTCAAAATGTCCACTTCCAGATAGTACGAGAAGATTGTTTCAAACCTGCTCTGTGAAAGGAAATGTTCAACTCTGTGACTTGAATGTAAACATCCCTAAGATGTTTCTTAGAATGATTCTGGCTAGATTTGATTTGAAGATATTCCCGTTTCCAACGAAATCCTCAAAGCTTTCCAAATATCCACTTCCAGATTCTATAAAAAGAATGTTTCAAAACAGTTCTGTCAAAAGAAAGGTTCAACCCTGTTAGTGGAGAACACACATCACAATCAAGGTTCTGAGAATGCTTCTGTCTAAATTTTCTATGAAGACATTCCCGTTTCCAAGGAAATCCTCACAGCTGTCCAAATATCCACTTGCAGATTCTACAAAAAGTGTGGTTCAAAACTGCTGTATCAAAAGAATGGATCAACACTGTTAGTTGAGTACCCACATCACAAACGTGATTCTCAGAAAGCTTCTGTCTAGTTTCTGTAGGTAGATATTTCCTATTTTAAGCATAGGCCTGAAAGCGCTCCAAATGCCCGCTTCCAGACACTATAAAAAGAGGGTTTCAAACCTACTCTATGAAAGGGAATGTTCAACTCTGAGAGCTGGATGCAAACATCACAAAGAAGTTTTCTGAGAATGCTGGCTGTCTACTTTTGATATATAATCCCGTATCCAACGAAATCCTCAAATCTATCCAAATATCCACTTGCAGATTCCAAAAGAAGAGTGTCTCAAAACTGCTCTATCAATAGAAATGTTCAGCACAGTTAGTTGAGTAGATACAGCATAAACATGTTTCTGAGATTACTTCTATCTCGCATTCATGGGAAGATATTTCCTTTTTCCAGATAGGCTACAAAGCCCTCCAAATGTCCACTTCCAGATACTACAAAAAGAGTGTTTCCAACCTGCTCTATGAAACGGAAGGTTCAACTCTGTGACTTGATTGCAAACATCACGAAGGTGTTTCTGAGAATGCTTCTGTCTAGATTTTCTTTGAAGACATTACCGTTTCCAACGAAATCCTCAAAGCTAGCCAAATATCCACCTGCAGATTCTACAAAAAGAGTGTTTCAAAAGTGCTCTGTCCAAACCAAGGTTCAATTCTGACAGTTGAGTGCACACATCACAAACGTGATTCTGCGAATGCTTCTGTCTAGTTTTTGTCGGAAGATATTTCCTTTTTCAGCATAGGCCCCAAGGAGCTCAAAATGTCCACTGCCACATAGTACGAGAAGATTGTTTCAAACCTGCTCTGTGAAAGGGAATGTTCAACTCTGTGACTTGAATGTAAACATCCCTAAGATGTTTCTTAGAATGCTTCTGGCTAGATTTTATTTGAAGATATTCCCGTTTCCAACGAAATCCTCAAAGCTTTCCAAATATCCACTTCCAGATTCTATAAAAAGAATGTTTCAGAACAGTTCTGTCAAAAGAAAGGTTCAACTCTGTTAGTGGAGAACACACATCACAATCAAGGTTCTGAGAATGCTTCTGTCTAAATTTTCTATGAAGCACATTCCCGTTTCCAACGAAATCCTCACAGCTATCCAAATATCCACTTGCAGATTCTACAAAAAGTGTGGTTCAAAACTGCTGTATCAAAAGAATGGATCAACACTGTTAGTTGAGTACCCACATCACAAACGTGATTCTCAGAATGCTTCTGTCTAGTTTCTATAGGTAGATATTTCCTTTTTCAGCATAGGCCTGAAAGCGCTCCAAATGCCCGCTTCCAGACACTATAAAAAGAGGGTTTCAAACGTACTCTATGAAAGGGAATGTTCAACTCTGGGAGCTGGATGCAAACATCACAAAGAAGTTTCTGAGAATGCTGCTGTCTACTTTTTATATATAATCCCGTTTCCAACGAAATCCTCAAATCTATCCAAATATCCACTTGCAGATTCCAAAAGAAGAGTGTCTGAAAACTGCTCTATCAATAGAAATGTTCAGCACAGTTAGTTGAGTAGATACAGCATAAACATGTTTCTGAGATTACTTCTATCTCGCATTCATGGGAAGATATTTCCTTTTTCCAGATAGGCTACAAAGCCCTCCAAATGTCCACTTCCAGATACTACAAATAGAGTGCTGCACAACTGCTCTATGTGAGGGGAAGTTCAATTCTGTGACTTGAATGCAGACACCACAAAGAAGTTTCTGAGAATTCTGCTGTCTAATTTTTACATGTAAGCCCGTTTCCAACGAAATCCTCAAAGCTATCCAAATATCCGCATGCAGAATCTTCAAAAAGAGTGTTCCAGAAGTACTGCATGAAACGAAAGGTTCAAGTCCGTTTGTTGAGGACACACATCACAAATAAGTTTCTCAGAATGCTTCTGTCTTGTTTTCATTGGAAGTATATTTCCTCTTTCACCATAGTTCAGAAAGCGCTCCAAATGTCCACTTCCAGATACTACAAAAGGAGTGTTTCCAACCTGCTCTATGAATGGGAATGTTCCACTCTGTGACTTGAATGGAAATATGGCAAAGTATTTTCTGAGTATGCTGCTGTGTACGTTTTATATTGCATCCCGTTTCCAACGAAATCCTCAAAGCGATCCAAATATCCACTTGCAGATTCCAAAAAAAGAGTGTTTCAAACTGCTCTGTCAGTACAAAGTTCAACACTGTTAGTTGATTAGATGCATCATAAACAAGTTCCTGAGATAGCTTCTATGTCGCTTTTATGGGAAGATATTTCCTTTTACACCATAGGCCTGAAAGCGCTCCAAATGTCCACTTCCAGATACTACAAAATGAGTGTTTCCAACCTGCTCTATGAAACGGAAGGTTCAACTCTGTGACTTGATTGCAAACATCACGAAGGTGTTTCTGAGGATGTTTCTGTCTAGATTTTCTTTGAAGACATTACCGTTTCCAACGAAATCCTCAAAGCTAGCCAAATATCCACCTGCAGATTCTACAAAAAGAGTGTTTCAAAAGTGCTCTGTCCAAACCAAGGTTCAATTCTGACAGTTGAGTGCACACATCACAAACGTGATTCTGCGAATGCTTCTGTCTAGTTTTTGTCGGAAGATATTTCCTTTTTCAGCATAGGCCCCAAGGAGCTCAAAATGTCCACTGCCAGATAGTACGAGAAGATTGTTTCAAACCTGCTCTGTGAAAGGGAATGTTCAACTCTGTGACTTGAATGTAAACATCCCTAAGCTGTTTCTTAGAATGCTTCTGGCTAGATTTTATTTGAAGATATTCCCGTTTCCAACGAAATCCTCAAAGCTTTCCAAATATCCACTTCCAGATTCTATAACAAGAATGTTTCAGAACAGTTCTGTCAAAAGAAAGGTTCAACTCTGTTAGTGGAGAACACACATCACAATCAAGGTTCTGAGAATGCTTCTGTCTAAATTTTCTATGAAGACATTCCCGTTTCCAACGAAATCCTCACAGCTATCCAAATATCCACTTGCAGATTCTACAAAAAGTGTGGTTCAAAACTGCTGTATCAAAAGAATGGATCAACACTGTTAGTTGAGTACCCACATCACAAACGTGATTCTCAGAATGCTTCTGTCTAGTTTCTGTAGGTAGATATTTCCTATTTTAAGCATAGGCCTGAAAGCGCTCCAAATGCCCGCTTGCAGACACTATAAAAAGAGGGTTTCAAACCTACTCTATGAAAGGGAATGCTCAACTCTGAGAGCTGGATGCAAACATCACAAAGAAGTTTCTGAGAATGCTGCTGTCTACTTTTTATATATAATCCCATTTCCAACGAAATCCTCAAATCTATCCAAATATCCACTTGCAGATTCCAAAAGAAGAGTGTCTCAAAACTGCTCTATCAATAGAAATGTTCAGCACAGTTAGTTGAGTAGATACAGCATAAACATGTTTCTGAGATTACTTCTATCTCGCATTCATGGGAAGATATTTCCTTTTTCCAGATAGGCTACAAAGCCCTCCAAATGTCCACTTCCAGATACTACAAATAGAGTGCTGCACAACTGCTCTATGTGAGGGGAAGTTCAATTCTGTGACTTGAATGCAGACACCACAAAGAAGTTTCTGAGAATGCTGCTGTCTAATTTTTACATGTAAGCCCGTTTCCAACGAAATCCTCAAAGCTATCCAAATATCCGCATGCAGAATCTTCAAAAAGAGTGTTCAAGAAGTACTGCATGAAACGAAAGGTTCAAGTCCGTTTGTTGAGGACACACATCACAAATAAGTTTCTCAGAATGCTTCTGTCTTGTTTTCATTGGAAGATATTTCCTTTTTCACCATAGTTCAGAAAGCGCTCCAAATGTCCACTTCCAGATACTCCAAAAAGAGTGTTTCAAACCTGCTCTATGAATGGGAATGTTCCACTCTGTGACTTGAATGGAAATATGGCAAAGTATTTTCTGAGTATGCTGCTGTGTACGTTTTATATTGCATCCCGTTTCCAACGAAATCCTCAAAGCGATCCAAATATCCACTTGCAGATTCCAAAAAAAGAGTGTTTCAAACTGCTCTGTCAGTACAAAGGTTCAACACTGTTAGTTGATTAGATGCATCATAAACAAGTTCCTGAGATAGCTTCTATGTCGTTTTTATGGGAAGATATTTCCTTTTTCACCATAGGCCTGAAAGCGCTCCAAATGTCCACTTCCAGATACTACAATAAGAGTGTTTCCAACCTGCTCTATGAAACGGAAGGTTCAACTCTGTGACTTGATTGCAAACATCACGAAGGTGTTTCTGAGAATGCTTCTGTCTAGATTTTCTTTGAAGACATTCCCGTTTCCAACGAAATCCTCGCAGCTATCCAAATATCCTCTTGCAGATTCTACAAAAAGTGTGGTTCAAAACTGCTGTATCAAAAGAATGGATCAACACTGTTAGTTGAGTACCCACATCACAAACGTGATTCTCAGAATGCTTCTGTCTAGTTTCTGTAGGTAGATATTTCCTATATTAAGCATAGGCCTGAAAGCGCTCCAAATGCCCGCTTCCAGACACTATAAAAAGAGGGTTTCAAACCTACTCTATGAAAGGGAATGTTCAACTCTGAGAGCTGGATGCAAACATCACAAAGAAGTTTCTGAGAATGCTGCTGTCTACTTTTTATATATAATCCCGTTTCCAACGAAATCCTCAAATCTATCCAAATATCCACTTGCAGATTCCAAAAGAAGAGTGTCTCAAAACTGCTCTATCAATAGAAATGTTCAGCACAGTTAGTTGAGTAGATACAGCATAAACATGTTTCTGAGATTACTTCTATCTCGCATTCATGGGAAGATATTTCCTTTTTCCAGATAGGCTACAAAGCCCTCCAAATGTCCACTTCCAGATACTACAAATAGAGTGCTGCACAACTGCTCTATGTGAGGGGAAGTTCAATTCTGTGACTTGAATGCAGACACCACAAAGAAGTTTCTGAGAATGCTGCTGTCTAATTTTTACATGTAAGACCGTTTCCAACGAAATCCTCAAAGCTATCCAAATATCCGCATGCAGAATCTTCAAAAAGAGTGTTCCAGAAGTACTGCATGAAACGAAAGGTTCAAGTCCGTTTGTTGAGGACACACATCACAAATAAGTTTCTCAGAATTCTTCTGTCTTGTTTTCATTGGAAGATATTTCCTTTTTCACCATAGTTCAGAAAGCGCTCCAAATGTCCACTTCCAGATACTCCAAAAAGAGTGTTTCAAACCTGCTCTATGAATGGGAATGTTCCACTCTGTGACTTGAATGGAAATATGGCAAAGTATTTTCTGAGTATGCTGCTGTGTACGTTTTATATTGCATCCCGTTTCCAACGAAATCCTCAAAGCGATCCAAATATCCACTTGCAGATTCCAAAAAAAGAGTGTTTCAAACTGCTCTGTCAGTAGAAAGGTTCAACACTGTTAGTTGATTAGATGCATCATAAACAAGTTCCTGAGATAGCTTCTATGTCGTTTTTATGGGAAGATATTTCCTTTTTCACCATAGGCCTGAAAGCGCTCCAAATGTCCACTTCCAGATACTACAATAAGAGTGTTTCCAACCTGCTCTATGAAACGGAAGGTTCAACTCTGTGACTTGATTGCAAACATCACGAAGGTGTTTCTGAGAATGCTTCTGTCTAGATTTTCTTTGAAGACATTACCGTTTCCAACGAAATCCTCAAAGCTAGTCAAATATCCACCTGCAGATTCTACAAAAAGAGTGTTTCAAAAGTGCTCTGTCCAAACAAAGGTTCAATTCTGACAGTTGAGTGCACACATCACAAACGTGATTCTGCGAATGCTTCTGTCTAGTTTTTGTCGGAATATATTTCCTTTTTCAGCATAGGCCCCAAGGAGCTCAAAATGTCCACTTCCAGATAGTACGAGAAGATTGTTTCAAACCTGCTCTGTGAAAGGGAATGTTCAACTCTCTGACTTGAATGTAAACATCCCTAAGATGTTTCTTAGAATGCTTCTGGCTAGATTTTATTTGAAGATATTCCCGTTTCCAACGAAATCCTCAAAGCTTTCCAAATATCCACTTCCAGATTCTATAAAAAGAATGTTTCAGAACAGTTCTGTCAAAAGAAAGGTTCAACTCTGTTAGTGGAGAACACACATCACAATCAAGGTTCTGAGAATGCTTCTGTCTAAATTTTCTATGAAGACATTCCCGTTTCCAACGAAATCCTCACAGCTATCCAAATATCCACTTGCAGATTCTACAAAAAGTGTGGTTCAAAACTGCTGTATCAAAAGAATGGATCAACACTGTTAGTTGAGTACCCACATCACAAACGTGATTCTCGGAATGCTTCTGTCTAGTTTCTATAGGTAGATATCTCCTTTTTCAGCATAGGCCTGAAAGCGCTCCAAATGCCCGCTTCCAGACACTATAAAAAGAGGGTTTCAAACCTACTCTATGAAAGGGAATGTTCAACTCTGAGAGCTGGATGCAAACATCACAAAGAAGTTTCTGAGAATGCTGCTGTCTACTTTTTATATATAATCCCGTTTCCAACGAAATCCTCAAATCTATCCAAATATCCACTTGCAGATTCCAAAAGAAGAGGGTCTCAAAACTGCTCTATCAATAGAAATGTTCAGCACAGTTAGTTGAGTAGATACAGCATAAACATGTTTCTGAGATTACTTCTATCTCGCATTCATGGGAAGATATTTCCTTTTTCCAGATAGGCTACAAAGCCCTCCAAATGTCCACTTCCAGATACTACAAATAGAGTGCTGCACAACTGCTCTATGTGAGGGGAAGTTCAATTCTGTGACTTGAATGCAGACACCACAAAGAAGTTTCTGAGAATGCTGCTGTCTAATTTTTACATGTAAGCCCGTTTCCAACGAAATCCTCAAAGCTATCCAAATATCCGCATGCAGAATCTTCAAAAAGAGTGTTCCAGAAGTACTGCATGAAACGAAAGGTTCAAGTCCGTTTGTTGAGGACACACATCACAAATAAGTTTCTCAGAATGCTTCTGTCTTGTTTTCATTGGAAGATATTTCCTTTTTCACCATAGTTCAGAAAGCGCTCCAAATGTCCACTTCCAGATACTCCAAAAAGAGTGTTTCCAACCTGCTCTATGAATGGGAATGTTCCACTCTGTGACTTGAATGGAAATATGGCAAAGTATTTTCTGAGTATGCTGCTGTGTACGTTTTATATTGCATCCCGTTTCCAACGAAATCCTCAAAGCGATCCAAATATCCACTTGCAGATTCCAAAAAAAAAGTGTTTCAAACTGCTCTGTCAGTACAAAGGTTCAACACTGTTAGTTGATTAGATGCATCATAAACAAGTTCCTGAGATAGCTTCTATGTCGTTTTTATGGGAAGATATTTCCTTTTTCACCATAGGCCTGAAAGCGCTCCAAATGTCCACTTCCAGATACTACAATAAGAGTGTTTCCAACCTGCTCTATGAAACGGAAGGTTCAACTCTGTGACTTGATTGCAAACATCACGAAGGTGTTTCTGAGAATGCTTCTGTCTAGATTTTCTTTGAAGACATTCCCGTTTCCAACGAAATCCTCACAGCTATCCAAATATCCTCTTGCAGATTCTACAAAAAGTGTGGTTCAAAACTGCTGTATCAAAAGAATGGATCAACACTGTTAGTTGAGTACCCACATCACAAACGTGATTCTCAGAATGCTTCTGTCTAGTTTCTGTAGGTAGATATTTCCTATTTTAAGCATAGGCCTGAAAGCGCTCCAAATGCCCGCTTCCAGACACTATAAAAAGAGGGTTTCAAACCTACTCTATGAAAGGGAATGTTCAACTCTGAGAGCTGGATGCAAACATCACAAAGAAGTTTCTGAGAATGCTGCTGTCTACTTTTTATATATAATCCCGTTTCCAACGAAATCCTCAAATCTATCCAAATATCCACTTGCAGATTCCAAAAGAAGAGTGTCTCAAAACTGCTCTATCAATAGAAATGTTCAGCACAGTTAGTTGAGTAGATACAGCATAAACATGTTTCTGAGATTACTTCTATCTCGCATTCATGGGAAGATATTTCCTTTTTCCAGATAGGCTACAAAGCCCTCCAAATGTCCACTTCCAGATACTACAAATAGAGTGCTGCACAACTGCTCTATGTGAGGGGAAGTTCAATTCTGTGACTTGAATGCAGACACCACAAAGAAGTTTCTGAGAATGCTGCTGTCTAATTTTTACATGTAAGCCCGTTTCCAACGAAATCCTCAAAGCTATCCAAATATCCGCATGCAGAATCTTCAAAAAGAGTGTTCCAGAAGTACTGCATGAAACGAAAGGTTCAAGTCCGTTTGTTGAGGACACACATCACAAATAAGTTTCTCAGAATGCTTCTGTCTTGTTTTCATTGGAAGATATTTCCTTTTTCACCATAGTTCAGAAAGCGCTCCAAATGTCCACTTCCAGATACTCCAAAAAGAGTGTTTCCAACCTGCTCTATGAATGGGAATGTTCCACTCTGTGACTTGAATGGAAATATGGCAAAGTATTTTCTGAGTATGCTGCTGTGTACGTTTTATATTGCATCCCGTTTCCAACGAAATCCTCAAAGCGATCCAAATATCCACTTGCAGATTCCAAAAAAAGAGTGTTTCAAACTGCTCTGTCAGTACAAAGGTTCAACACTGTTAGTTGATTAGATGCATCATAAACAAGTTCCTGAGATAGCTTCTATGTCGTTTTTATGGGAAGATATTTCCTTTTTCACCATAGGCCTGAAAGCACTCCAAATGTCCACTTCCAGATACTACAAAAAGAGTGTTTCCAACCTGCTCTATGAAACGGAAGGTTCAACTCTGTGACTTGATTGCAAACATCACGAAGGTGTTTCTGAGAATGCTTCTGTCTAGATTTTCTTTGAAGACATTACCGTTTCCAACGAAATCCTCAAAGCTAGCCAAATATCCACCTGCAGATTCTACAAAAAGAGTGTTTCAAAAGTGCTCTGTCCAAACCAAGGTTCAATTCTGACAGTTGAGTGCACACATCACAAACGTGATTCTGCGAATGCTTCTGTCTAGTTTTTGTCGGAAGATATTTCCTTTTTCAGCATAGGCCCCAAGGAGCTCAAAATGTCCACTGCCAGATAGTACGAGAAGATTGTTTCAAACCTGCTGCTGTGAAAGGGAATGTTCAACTCTGTGACTTGAATGTAAACATCCCTAAGATGTTTCTTAGAATGCTTCTGGCTAGATTTGATTTGAAGATATTCCCGTTTCCAACGAAATCCTCAAAGCTTTCCAAATATCCACTTCCAGATTCTATAAAAAGAATGTTTCAGAACAGTTCTGTCAAAAGAAAGGTTCAACTCTGTTAGTGGAGAACACACATCACAATCAAGGTTCTGAGAATGCTTCTGTCTACATTTTCTATGAAGACATTCCCGTTTCCAACGAAATCCTCACAGCTATCCAAATATCCACTTGCAGATTCTACAAAAAGTGTGGTTCAAAACTGCTGTATCAAAAGAATGGATCAACACTGTTAGTTGAGTACCCACATCACAAACGTGATTCTCAGAATGCTTCTGTCTAGTTTCTGTAGGTAGATATTTCCTATTTTAAGCATAAGCCTGAAAGCGCTCCAAATGCCCGCTTCCAGACACTATAAAAAGAGGGTTTCAAACCTACTCTATGAAAGGGAATGTTCAACTCTGAGAGCTGGATGCAAACATCACAAAGAAGTTTCTGAGAATGCTGCTGTCTACTTTTTATATATAATCCCGTTTCCAACGAAATCCTCAAATCTATCCAAATATCCACTTGCAGATTCCAAAAGAAGAGTGTCTCAAAACTGCTCTATCAATAGAAATGTTCAGCACAGTTAGTTGAGTAGATACAGCATAAACATGTTTCTGAGATTACTTCTATCTCGCATTCATGGGAAGATATTTCCTTTTTCCACATAGGCTACAAAGCCCTCCAAATGTCCACTTCCAGATACTACAAATAGAGTGCCGCACAACTGCTCTATGTGAGGGGAAGTTCAATTCTGTGACTTGAATGCAGACACCACAAAGAAGTTTCTGAGAATGCTGCTGTCTAATTTTTACATGTAAGCCCGTTTCCAACGAAATCCTCAAAGCTATCCAAATATCCGCATGCAGAATCTTCAAAAAGAGTGTTCCAGAAGTACTGCATGAAACGAAAGGTTCAAGTCCGTTTGTTGAGGACACACATCACAAATAAGTTTCTCAGAATGCTTCTGTCTTGTTTTCATTGGAAGTTATTTCCTTTTTCACCATAGTTCAGAAAGCGCTCCAAATGTCCACTTCCAGATACTCCAAAAAGAGTGTTTCAAACCTGCTCTATGAATGGGAATGTTCCACTCTGTGACTTGAATGGAAATATGGCAAAGTATTTTCTGAGTATGCTGCTGTGTACGTTTTATATTGCATCCCGTTTCCAACGAAATCCTCAAAGCGATCCAAATATCCACTTGCAGATTCCAAAAAAAGAGTGTTTCAAACTGCTCTGTCAGTACAAAGGTTCAACACTGTTAGTTGATTAGATGCATCATAAACAAGTTCCTGAGATAGCTTCTATGTCGTTTTTATGGGAAGATATTTCCTTTTTCACCATAGGCCTTAAAGCGCTCCAAATGTCCACTTCCAGATACTACAAAAAGAGTGTTTCCAACCTGCTGTATGAAACGGAAGGTTCAACTCTGTGACTTGATTGCAAACATCACGAAGGTGTTTCTGAGAATGCTTCTGTCTAGATTTTCTTTGAAGACATTACCGTTTCCAACGAAATCCTCAAAGCTAGCCAAATATCCACCTGCAGATTCTACAAAAAGAGTGTTTCAAAAGTGCTCTGTCCAAACCAAGGTTCAATTCTGACAGTTGAGTGCACACATCACAAACGTGATTCTGCGAATGCTTCTGTCTAGTTTTTGTCGGAAGATATTTCCTTTTTCAGCATAGGCCCCAAGGAGCTCAAAATGTCCACTGCCAGATAGTACGAGAAGATTGTTTCAAACCTGCTCTGTGAAAGGGAATGTTCAACTCTGTGACTTGAATGTAAACATCCCTAAGATGTTTCTTAGAATGCTTCTGGCTAGATTTGATTTGAAGATATTCCCGTTTCCAACGAAATCCTCAAAGCTTTCCAAATATCCACTTCCAGATTCTATAACAAGAATGTTTCAGAACAGTTCTGTCAAAAGAAAGGTTCAACTCTGTTAGTGGAGAACACACTTCACAATCAAGGTTCTGAGAATGCTTCTGTCTAAATTTTCTCTGAAGACATTCCCGTTTCCAACGAAATCCTCACAGCTATCCAAATATCCAATTGCAGATTCTACAAAAAGGGTGGTTCAAAACTGCTGTATCAAAAGAATGGATCAACACTGTTAGTTGAGTACCCACATCACAAACGTGATTCTCAGAATGCTTCTGTCTAGTTTCTATAGGTAGATATTTCCTTTTTCAGCATAGGCCTGAAAGCGCTCCAAATGCCCACTTCCAGACACTATATAAAGAGGGTTTCCAACCTACTCTATGAAAGGGAATGTTCAACTCTGAGAGCTGGATGCAAACATCACAAAGAAGTTTCTGAGAATGCTGCTGTCTACTTTTTATATATAATCCCGTTTCCAACGAAATCCTCAAATCTAGCCAAATATCCACTTGCAGATTCCAAAAGAAGAGTGTCTCAAAACTGCTCTATCAATAGAAATGTTCAGCACAGTTAGTTGAGTAGATACAGCATAAACATGTTTCTGAGATTACTTCCATCTCGCATTCATGGGAAGATATTTCCTTTATCCAGATAGGCTACAAAGCCCTCCAAATGTCCACTTCGAGATACTAAAAATAGAGTGCTGCACAACTGCTCTATGTGAGGGGATGTTCAATTCTGTGACTTGAATGCAGACACCACAAAGAAGTTTCTGAGAATGCTGCTGTCTAATTTTTATATGTAAGCCCGTTTCCAACGATATCCTCAAAGCTAACCAAATATCTGCATGCAGAATCTTCAAAAAGAGTGTTCCAGAAGTACTGCATGAAACGAAAGCTTCGAGTCCGTTTGTTGAGGACACGCATCACAAATAAGTTTCTCAGAATGCTTGTGTCTTGTATTCATTGGAAGATATTTCCTTTTTCACCATAGTTCAGAAAGCGCTCCAAATGTCCACTTCCAGATACTCCAAAAAGAGTGTTTCCAACCTGCTCTATGAATGGGAATGTTCCACTCTGTGACTTGAATGGAAATATGGCAAAGTATTTTCTGGGTATGCTGCTGTGTACGTTTTATATTGCATCCCGTTTCCAACGAAATCCTCAAAGCGATCCAAATATCCACTTGCAGATTCCAAAAAAAGAGTGTTTCAAACTGCTCTGTCAGTACAAAGGTTCAACACTGTTAGTTGATTAGATGCATCATAAACAAGTTCCTGATATAGATTCTATCTCGCATTCATGGGAAGATATTTCCTTTTTCCAGATAGGCTACAAAGCCCTCCAAATGTCCACTTCCAGATACTACAAAAAGAGTGTTTCCAACCTGCTCTATGAAACGGAAGGTTCAACTCTGTGACTTGATTGCAAACATCACGACGCTGTTTCTGAGAATGCTTCTGTCTAGATTTTCTTTGAAGACATTACCGTTTCCAACGAAATCCTCAAAGCTAGCCAAATATCCACCTGCAGATTCTACAAAAAGAGTGTTTCAAAAGTGCTCTCTCCAAACCAAGGTTCAATTCTGACAGTTGAGTGCACACATCACAAACGTGATTCTGCGAATGCTTCTGTCTAGTTTTTGTCGGAAGATATTTCCTTTTTCAGCATAGGCCCCAAAGAGCTCAAAATGTCCACTGCCAGATAGTACGAGAAGATTGTTTCAAACCTGCTCTGTGAAAGGGAATGTTCAACTCTGTGACTTGAATGTAAACATCCCTAAGCTGTTTCTTAGAATGCTTCTGGCTAGATTTTATTTGAAGATATTCCCGTTTCCAACGAAATCCCCAAATCATTCCAAATATCCACTTCCAGATTCTATAAAAAGAATGTTTCAGAACAGTTCTGTCAAAAGAAAGGTTCAGCCCTTTTAGTGGAGAACACACATCACAATCAAGGTTCTCAGAATGCTTCTGTCTAAATTGTCTATGAAGACATTCCCGTTTCCAAGGAAATCCTCACAGCTATCCAAATATCCACTTGCAGATTCTACAAAAAGTGTGGTTCGAAACTGCTGTATCAAAAGTATGGATCAACACTGTTAATTGAGTACCCACATCACAAACGTGATTCTCAGAATGCTTCTGTCTAGTTTCTATAGGTAGATATTTCCTTTTTCAGCATAGGCCTGAAAGCGCTCCAAATGCCCGCTTCCAGACACTATAAAAAGAGGGTTTCAAACCTACTCTATGAAAGGGAATGTTCAACTCTGAGAGCTGGATGCAAACATCACAAAGAAGTTTCTGAGAATGCTGCTGTCTACTTTTTATATATAATCCCGTTTCCAACGAAATCCTCAAATCTATCCAAATATCCACTTGCGGATTCCAAAAGAAGAGTGTCTCAAAACTGCTCTATCAATAGAAATGTTCAGCACAGTTAGTTGAGTAGATACAGCATAAACATGTTTCTGAGATTACTTCTATCTCGCATTCATGGGAAGATATTTCCTTTTTCCAGATAGGCTACAAAGCCCTCCAAATGTCCACTTCCAGATACTACAAATAGAGTGCTGCACAACTGCTCTATGTGAGGGGAAGTTCAATTCTGTGACTTGAATGCAGACACCACAAAGAAGTTTCTGAGAATGCTGCTGTCTAATTTTTACATGTAAGCCCGTTTCCAACGAAATCCTCAAAGCTATCCAAATATCCGCATGCAGAATCTTCAAAAAGAGTGTTCCAGAAGTACTGCATGAAACGAAAGGTTCAAGTCCGTTTGTTGAGGACACACATCACAAATAAGTTTCTCAGAATGCTTCTGTGTTGTTTTCATTGGAAGATATTTCCTTTTTCACCATAGTTCAGAAAGCGCTCCAAATGTCCACTTCCAGATACTCCAAAAAGTGTGTTTCAAACCTGCTCTATGAATGGGAATGTTCCACTCTGTGACTTGAATGGAAATATGGCAAAGTATTTTCTGAGTATGCTGCTGTGTACGTTTTATATTGCATCCCGTTTCCAACGAAATCCTCAAAGCGATCCAAATATCCACTTGCAGATTCCAAAAAAAGAGTGTTTCAAACTGCTCTGTCAGTACAAAGGTTCAACACTGTTAGTTGATTAGATGCATCATAAACAAGTTCCTGAGATAGCTTCTATGTCGTTTTTATGGGAAGATATTTCCTTTTTCACCATAGGCCTGAAAGTGCTCCAAATGTCCACTTCCAGATACTACAAAAAGAGTGTTTCCAACCTGCTCTATGAAACGGAAGGTTCAACTCTGTGACTTGATTGCAAACATCACGAAGGTGTTTCTGAGAATGCTTCTGTCTAGATTTTCTTTGAAGACATTACCGTTTCCAACGAAATCCTCAAAGCTAGCCAAATATCCACCTGCAGATTCTACAAAAAGAGTGTTTCAAAAGTGCTCTGTCCAAACCAAGGTTCAATTCTGACAGTTGAGTGCACACATCACAAACGTGATTCTGCGAATGCTTCTGTCTAGTTTTTGTCGGAAGATATTTCCTTTTTCAGCATAGGCCCCAAGGAGCTCAAAATGTCCACTGCCAGATAGTACGAGAAGATTGTTTCAAACCTGCTCTGAGAAAGGGGAATGTTCAACTCTGTGACTTGAATGTAAACATCCCTAAGATGTTTCTTAGAATGCTTCTGGCTAGATTTTATTTGAAGATATTCCCGTTTCCAACGAAATCCTCAAAGCTTTCCAAATATCCACTTCCAGATTCTATAAAAAGAATGTTTCAAAACAGTTCTGTCCAAAGAAAGGTTCAACTCTGTTAGTGGAGAACACACATCACAATCCAGGTTCTGAGAATGCTTCTGTCTAAATTTTCTATGAAGACATTCCCGTTTCCAACGAAATCCTCACAGCTATCCAAATATCCACTTGCAGATTCTACAAAAAGTGTGGTTCAAAACTGCTGTATCAAAAGAATGGATCAACACTGTTAGTTGAGTACCCACATCACAAACGTGATTCTCAGAATGCTTCTGTCTAGTTTCTATAGGTAGATATTTCCTTTTTCAGCATAGGCCTGAAAGCGCTCCAAATGCCCGCTTCCAGACACTATAAAAAGAGGGTTTCAAACCTACTCTATGAAAGGGAATGTTCAACTCTGAGAGCTGGATGCAAACATCACAAAGAAGTTTCTGAGAATGCTGCTGTCTACTTTTTATATATAATCCCGTTTCCAACGAAATCCTCAAATCTATCCAAATATCCACTTGCAGATTCCAAAAGAAGAGTGTCTCAAAACTGCTCTATCAATAGAAATGTTCAGCACAGTTAGTTGAGTAGATACAGCATAAACATGTTTCTGAGATTACTTCTATCTCGCATTCATGGGAAGATATTTCCTTTTTCCAGATAGGCTACAAAGCCCTCCAAATGTCCACTTCGAGATACTACAAATAGAGTGCTGCACAACTGCTCTATGTGAGGGGATGTTCAATTCTGTGACTTGAATGCAGACACCACAAAGAAGTTTCTGAGAATGCTGCTGTCTAATTTTTACATGTAAGCCCGTTTCCAACGAAATCCTCAAAGCTATCCAAATATCCGCATGCAGAATCTTCAAAAAGAGTGTTCCAGAAGTACTGCATGAAACGAAAGGTTCAAGTCCGTTTGTTGAGGACACACATCACAAATAAGTTTCTCAGAATGCTTCTGTCTTGTTTTCATTGGAAGATATTTCCTTTTTCACCATAGTTCAGAAAGCGCTCCAAATGTCCACTTCCAGATACTCCAAAAAGAGTGTTTCCAACCTGCTCTATGAATGGGAATGTTCCACTCTGTGACTTGAATGGAAATATGGCAAAGTATTTTCTGAGTATGCTGCTGTGTACGTTTTATATTGCATCCCGTTTCCAACGAAATCCTCAAAGCGATCCAAATATCCACTTGCAGATTCCAAAAAAAGAGTGTTTCAAACTGCTCTGTCAGTACAAAGGTTCAACACTGTTAGTTGATTAGATGCATCATAAACAAGTTCCTGAGATAGCTTCTATGTCGCTTTTATGGGAAGATATTTCCTTTTACACCATAGGCCTGAAATCGCTCCAAATGTCCAATTCCAGATACTACAAAATGAGTGTTTCCAACCTGCTCTATGAAACGGAAGGTTCAACTCTGTGACTTGATTGCAAACATCACGAAGGTGTTTCTGAGAATGCTTCTGTCTAGATTTTCTTTGAAGACATTACCGTTTCCAACGAAATCCTCAAAGCTAGCCAAATATCCACCTGCAGATTCTACAAAAAGAGTGTTTCAAAAGTGCTCTGTCCAAACCAAGGTTCAATTCTGACAGTTGAGTGCACACATCACAAACGTGATTCTGCGAATGCTTCTGTCTAGTTTTTGTCGGAAGATATTTCCTTTTTCAGCATAGGCCCCAAGGAGCTCAAAATGTCCACTGCCAGATAGTACGAGAAGATTGTTTCAAACCTGCTCTGTGAAAGGGAATGTTCAACTCTGTGACTTGAATGTAAACATCCCTAAGATGTTTCTTAGAATGCTTCTGGCTAGATTTGATTTGAAGATATTCCCGTTTCCAACGAAATCCTCAAAGCTTTCCAAATATCCACTTCCAGATTCTATAAAAAGAATGTTTCAGAACAGTTCTGTCAAAAGAAAGGTTCAACTCTGTTAGTGGAGAACACACATCACAATCAAGGTTCTGAGAATGCTTCTGTCTACATTTTCTATGAAGACATTCCCGTTTCCAACGAAATCCTCACAGCTATCCAAATATCCACTTGCAGATTCTACAAAAAGTGTGGTTCAAAACTGCTGTATCAAAAGAATGGATCAACACTGTTAGTTGAGTACCCACATCACAAACGTGATTCTCAGAATGCTTCTGTCTAGTTTCTAAAGGTAGATATTTCCTTTTTCAGCATAGGCCTGAAAGCGACCCAAATGCCCGCTTCCAGACACTATAAAAAGAGGGTTTCAAACCTACTCTATGAAAGGGAATGTTCAACTCTGAGAGCTGGATGCAAACATCACAAAGAAGTTTCTGAGAATGCTGCTGTCTACTTTTTATATATAATCCCGTTTCCAACGAAATCCTCAAATCTATCCAAATATCCACTTGCAGATTCCAAAAGAAGAGTGTCTCAAAACTGCTCTATCAATAGAAATGTTCAGCACAGTTAGTTGAGTAGATACAGCATAAACATGTTTCTGAGATTACTTCTATCTCGCATTCATGGGAAGATATTTCCTTTTTCCAGATAGGCTACAAAGCCCTCCAAATGTCCACTTCCAGATACTACAAAAAGAGTGTTTCCAACCTGCTCTATGAAACGGAAGGTTCAACTCTGTGACTTGATTGCAAACATCACGAAGGTGTTTCTGAGAATGCTTCTGTCTAGATTTTCTTTGAAGACATTACCGTTTCCAACGAAATCCTCAAAGCTAGCCAAATATCCACCTGCAGATTCTACAAAAAGAGTGTTTCAAAAGTGCTCTGTCCAAACCAAGGTTCAATTCTGACAGTTGAGTGCACACATCACAAACGTGATTCTGCGAATGCTTCTGTCTAGTTTTTGTCGGAAGATATTTCCTTTTTCAGCATAGGCCCCAAGGAGCTCAAAATGTCCACTGCCAGATAGTACGAGAAGATTGTTTCAAACCTGCTGCTGTGAAAGGGAATGTTCAACTCTGTGACTTGAATGTAAACATCCCTAAGATGTTTCTTAGAATGCTTCTGGCTAGATTTTATTTGAAGATATTCCCGTTTCCAACGAAATCCTCAAAGCTTTTCAAATATCCACTTCCAGATTCTATAAAAAGAATGTTTCAAAAGAGTTCTGTCAAAAGAAAGGTTCAACCCTGTTAGTGGAGAACACACATCACAATCAAGGTTCTGAGAATGCTTCTGTCTAAATTTTCTATGAAGACATTCCCGTTTCCAAGGAAATCCTCACAGCTATCCAAATATCCACTTGCAGATTCTACAAAAAGTGTGGTTCAAAACTGCTGTATCAAAAGAATGAATCAACACTGTTAGTTGAGTACCCACATCACAAACGTGATTCTCAGAATGCTTCTGTCTAGTTTCTATAGGTAGATATTTCCTTTTTCAGCATAGGCCTGAAAGCGCTCCAAATGCCCGCTTCCAGACACTATAAAAAGAGGGTTTCAAACCTACTCTATGAAAGGGAATGTTCAACTCTGAGAGCTGGATGCAAACATCACAAAGAAGTTTCTGAGAATGCTGCTGTCTACTTTTTATATATAATCCCGTTTCCAACGAAATCCTCAAATCTATCCAAATATCCACTTGCAGATTCCAAAAGAAGAGTGTCTCAAAACTGCTCTATCAATAGAAATGTTCAGCACAGTTAGTTGAATAGATACAGCATAAACATGTTTCTGAGATTACTTCTATCTCGCATTCATGGGAAGATATTTCCTTTTTCCAGATAGGCTACAAAGCCCTCCAAATGTCCACTTCCAGATACTACAAATAGAGTGCTGCACAACTGCTCTATGTGAGGGGAAGTTCAATTCTGTGACTTGAATGCAGACACCACAAAGAAGTTTCTGAGAATGCTGCTGTCTAATTTTTACATGTAAGCCCGTTTCCAACGAAATCCTCAAAGCTATCCAAATATCCACATGCAGAATCTTCAAAAAGAGTGTTCCAGAAGTACTGCATGAAACGAAAGGTTCAAGTCCGTTTGTTGAGGACACACATCACAAATAAGTTTCTCAGAATGCTTCTGTCTTGTTTTCATTGGAAGATATTTCCTTTTTCACCATAGTTCAGAAAGCGCTCCAAATGTCCACTTCCAGATACTCCAAAAAGAGTGTTTCAAACCTGCTCTATGAATGGGAATGTTCCACTCTGTGACTTGAATGGAAATATGGCAAAGTATTTTCTGAGTATGCTGCTGTGTACGTTTTATATTGCATCCCGTTTCCAACGAAATCCTCAAAGCGATCCAAATATCCACTTGCAGATTCCAAAAAAAGAGTGTTTCAAACTGCTCTGTCAGTACAAAGGTTCAACACTGTTAGTTGATTAGATGCATCATAAACAAGTTCCTGAGATAGCTTCTATGTCGTTTTTATGGGAAGATATTTCCTTTTTCACCATAGGCCTGAAAGCGCTCCAAATGTCCACTTCCAGATACTACAATAAGAGTGTTTCCAACCTGCTCTATGAAACGGAAGGTTCAACTCTGTGACTTGATTGCAAACATCACGAAGGTGTTTCTGAGAATGCTTCTGTCTAGATTTTCTTTGAAGACATTCCCGTTTCCAACGAAATCCTCACAGCTATCCAAATATCCTCTTGCAGATTCTACAAAAAGTGTGGTTCAAAACTGCTGTATCAAAAGAATGGATCAACACTGTTAGTTGAGTACCCACATCACAAACGTGATTCTCAGAATGCTTCTGTCTAGTTTCTGTAGGTAGATATTTCCTATTTTAAGCATAGGCCTGAAAGCGCTCCAAATGCCCGCTTCCAGACACTATAAAAAGAGGGTTTCAAACCTACTCTATGAAAGGGAATGTTCAACTCTGGGAGCTGGATGCAAACATCACAAAGAAGTTTCTGAGAATGCTGCTGTCTACTTTTTATATATAATCCCGTTTCCAACGAAATCCTCAAATCTATCCAAATATCCACTTGCAGATTCCAAAAGAAGAGTGTCTCAAAACTGCTCTATCAATAGAAATGTTCAGCACAGTTAGTTGAGTAGATACAGCATAAACATGTTTCTGAGATTACTTCTATCTCGCATTCATGGGAAGATATTTCCTTTTTCCAGATAGGCTACAAAGCCCTCCAAATGTCCACTTCGAGATACTACAAATAGAGTGCTGCACAACTGCTCTATGTGAGGGGAAGTTCAATTCTGTGACTTGAATGCAGACACCACAAAGAAGTTTCTGAGAATGCTGCTGTCTAATTTTTACATGTAAGCCCGTTTCCAACGAAATCCTCAAAGCTATCCAAATATCCGCATGCAGAATCTTCAAAAAGAGTGTTCCAGAAGTACTGCATGAAACGAAAGGTTCAAGTCCGTTTGTTGAGGACACACATCACAAATAAGTTTCTCAGAATGCTTCTGTCTTGTTTTCATTGGAAGATATTTCCTTTTTCACCATAGTTCAGAAAGCGCTCCAAATGTCCACTTCCAGATACTCCAAAAAGAGTGTTTCAAACCTGCTCTATGAATGGGAATGTTCCACTCTGTGACTTGAATGGAAATCTGGCAAAGTATTTTCTGAGTATGCTGCTGTGTACGTTTTATATTGCATCCCGTTTCCAACGAAATCCTCAAAGCGATCCAAATATCCACTTGCAGATTCCAAAAAAAGAGTGTTTCAAACTGCTCTGTCAGTACAAAGGTTCAACACTGTTAGTTGATTAGATGCATCATAAACAAGTTCCTGAGATAGCTTCTATCTCGCATTCATGGGAAGATATTTCCTTTTTCCAGATAGGCTACAAAGCCCTCCAAATGTCCACTTCCAGATACTACAAAAAGTGTGTTTCCAACCTGCTCTATGAAACGGAAGGTTCAACTCTGTGACTTGATTGCAAACATCACGAAGGTGTTTCTGAGAATGCTTCTGTCTAGATTTTCTTTGAAGACATTACCGTTTCCAACGAAATCCTCAAAGCTAGCCAAATATCCACCTGCAGATTCTACAAAAAGTGTGTTTCAAAAGTGCTCTCTCCAAACCAAGGTTCAATTCTGACAGTTGAGTGCACACATCACAAACGTGATTCTGCGAATGCTTCTGTCTAGTTTTTGTCGGAAGATATTTCCTTTTTCAGCATAGGCCCCAAGGAGCTCAAAATGTCCACTGCCAGATAGTACGAGAAGATTGTTTCAAACCTGCTCTGTGAAAGGGAATGTTCAACTCTGTGACTTGAATGTAAACATCCCTAAGATGTTTCTTAGAATGCTTCTGGCGTAGATTTGATTTGAAGATATTCCCGTTTCCAACGAAATCCTCAAAGCTTTCCAAATATCCACTTCCAGATTCTATAAAAAGAATGTTTCAGAACAGTTCTGTCAAAAGAAAGGTTCAACTCTGTTAGTGGAGAACACACATCACAATCAAGGTTCTGAGAATGCTTCTGTCTAAATTTTCTATGAAGACATTCCCGTTTCCAAGGAAATCCTCACAGCTATCCAAATATCCACTTGCAGATTCTACAAAAAGTGTGGTTCGAAACTGCTGTATCAAAAGAATGGATCAACACTGTTAGTTGAGTACCCACATCACAAACGTGATTCTCAGAATGCTTCTGTCTAGTTTCTATAGGTAGATATTTCCTTTTTCAGCATAGGCCTGAAAGCGCTCCAAATGCCCGCTTCCAGACACTATAAAAAGAGGGTTTCAAACCTACTCTATGAAAGGGAATGTTCAACTCTGAGAGCTGGATGCAAACATCACAAAGAAGTTTCTGAGAATGCTGCTGTCTACTTTTTATATATAATCCCGTTTCCAACAAAATCCTCAAATCTATCCAAATATCCACTTGCAGATTCCAAAAGAAGAGTGTCTCAAAACTGCTCTATCAATAGAAATGTTCAGCACAGTTAGATGAGTAGATACAGCATAAACATGTTTCTGAGATTACTTCTATCTCGCATTCATGGGAAGATATTTCCTTTTTCCAGATAGGCTACAAAGCCCTCCAAATGTCCACTTCCAGATACTACAAATAGAGTGCTGCACAACTGCTCTATGTGAGGGGAAGTTCAATTCTGTGACTTGAATGCAGACACCACAAAGAAGTTTCTGAGAATGCTGCTGTCTAATTTTTACATGTAAGGCCGTTTCCAACGAAATCCTCAAAGCTATCCAAATATCCGCATGCAGAATCTTCAAAAAGAGTGTTCCAGAAGTACTGCATGAAACGAAAGGTTCAAGTCCGTTTGTTGAGGACACACATCACAAATAAGTTTCTCAGAATGCTTCTGTGTTGTTTTCATTGGAAGATATTTCCTTTTTCACCATAGTTCAGAAAGCGCTCCAAATGTCCACTTCCAGATACTCCAAAAAGAGTGTTTCAAACCTGCTCTATGAATGGGAATGTTCCACTCTGTGACTTGAATGGAAATATGGCAAAGTATTTTCTGAGTATGCTGCTGTGTACGTTTTATATTGCATCCCGTTTCCAACGAAATCCTCAAAGCGATCCAAATATCCACTTGCAGATTCCAAAAAAAGAGTGTTTCAAACTGCTCTGTCAGTACAAAGGTTCAACACTGTTAGTTGATTAGATGCATCATAAACAAGTTCCTGAGATAGCTTCTATGTCGTTTTTATGGGAAGATATTTCCTTTTTCACCATAGGCCTGAAAGCGCTCCAAATGTCCACTTCCAGATACTACAATAAGAGTGTTTCCAACCTGCTCTATGAAACGGAAGGTTCAACTCTGTGACTTGATTGCAAACATCACGAAGGTGTTTCTGAGAATGCTTCTGTCTAGATTTTCTTTGAAGACATTCCCGTTTCCAACGAAATCCTCACAGCTATCCAAATATCCTCTTGCAGATTCTACAAAAAGTGTGGTTCAAAACTGCTGTATCAAAAGAATGGATCAACACTGTTAGTTGAGTACCCACATCACAAACGTGATTCTCAGAATGCTTCTGTCTAGTTTCTGTAGGTAGATATTTCCTATTTTAAGCATAGGCCTGAAAGCGCTCCAAATGCCCGCTTCCAGACACTATAAAAAGAGGGTTTCAAACCTACTCTATGAAAGGGAATGTTCAACTCTGAGAGCTGGATGCAAACATCACAAAGAAGTTTTCTGAGAATGCTGCTGTCTACTTTTTATATATAATCCCGTTTCCAACGAAATCCTCAAATCTATCCAAATATCCACTTGCAGATTCCAAAAGAAGAGTGTCTCAAAACTGTTCTATCAATAGAAATGTTCAGCACAGTTAGTTGAGTAGATACAGCATAAACATGTTTCTGAGATTACTTCTATCTCGCATTCATGGGAAGATATTTCCTTTTTCCAGATAGGCTACAAAGCCCTCCAAATGTCCACTTCCAGATACTACAAATAGAGTGCTGCACAACTGCTCTATGTGAGGGGAAGTTCAATTCTGTGACTTGAATGCAGACACCACAAAGAAGTTTCTGAGAATGCTGCTGTCTAATTTTTACATGTAAGCCCGTTTCCAACGAAATCCTCAAAGCTATCCAAATATCCGCATGCAGAATCTTCAAAAAGAGTGTTCCAGAAGTACTGCATGAAACGAAAGGTTCAAGTCCGTTTGTTGAGGACACACATCACAAATAAGTTTCTCAGAATGCTTCTGTCTTGTTTTCATTGGAAGATATTTCCTTTTTCACCATAGTTCAGAAAGCGCTCCAAATGTCCACTTCCAGATACTCCAAAAAGAGTGTTTCCAACCTGCTCTATGAATGGGAATGTTCCACTCTGTGACTTGAATGGAAATATGGCAAAGTATTTTCTGAGTATGCTGCTGTGTACGTTTTATATTGCATCCCGTTTCCAACGAAATCCTCAAAGCGATCCAAATATCCACTTGCAGATTCCAAAAAAAGAGTGTTTCAAACTGCTCTGTCAGTACAAAGGTTCAACACTGTTAGTTGATTAGATGCATCATAAACAAGTTCCTGAGATAGCTTCTATGTCGTTTTTATGGGAAGATATTTCCTTTTTCACCATAGGCCTGAAAGCGCTCCAAATGTCCACTTCCAGATACTACAAAAAGAGTGTTTCCAACCTGCTCTATGAAACGGAAGGTTCAACTCTGTGACTTGATTGCAAACATCACGAAGGTGTTTCTGAGAATGTTTCTGTCTAGATTTTCTTTGAAGACATTCCCGTTTCCAACGAAATCCTCACAGCTATCCAAATATCCTCTTGCAGATTCTACAAAAAGTGTGGTTCAAAACTGCTGTATCAAAAGAATGGATCAACACTGTTAGTTGAGTACCCACATCACAAACGTGATTCTCAGAATGCTTCTGTCTAGTTTCTGTAGGTAGATATTTCCTATTTTAAGCATAGGCCTGAAAGTGCTCCAAATGCCCGCTTCCAGACACTATAAAAAGAGGGTTTCAAACCTACTCTATGAAAGGGAATGTTCAACTCTGAGAGCTGGATGCAAACATCACAAAGAAGTTTCTGAGAATGCTGCTGTCTACTTTTTATATATAATCCCGTTTCCAACGAAATCCTCAAATCTATCCAAATATCCACTTGCAGATTCCAAAAGAAGAGTGTCTCAAAACTGCTCTATCAATAGAAATGTTCAGCACAGTTAGTTGAGTAGATACAGCATAAACATGTTTCTGAGATTACTTCTATCTCGCATTCATGGGAAGATATTTCCTTTTTCCAGATAGGCTACAAAGCCCTCCAAATGTCCACTTCGAGATACTACAAATAGAGTGCTGTACAACTGCTCTATGTGAGGGGATGTTCGATTCTGTGACTTGAATGCAGACACCACAAAGAAGTTTCTGAGAATGCTCCTGTCTAATTTTTATATGTAAGCCCGTTTCCAACGAAATCCTCAAAGCTAACCAAATATCCGCATGCAGAATCTTCAAAAAGAGTGTTCCAGAAGTACTGCATGAAACGAAAGCTTCGAGTCCGTTAGTTGAGGACACGCATCACAAATAAGTTTCTCAGAATGCTTCTGTCTTGTTTTCATTGGAAGATATTTCCTTTTTCACCATAGTTCAGAAAGCGCTCCAAATGTCCACTTCCAGAGACTCCAAAAAGAGTGTTTCAAACCTGCTCTATGAATGGGAATGTTCCACTCTGTGACTTGAATGGAAATATGGCAAAGTATTTTCTGAGTATGCTGCTGTGTACGTTTTATATTGCATCCCGTTTCCAACGAAATCCTCAAAGCGATCCAAATATCCACTTGCAGATTCCAAAAAAAGAGTGTTTCAAACTGCTCTGTCAGTACAAAGGTTCAACACTGTTAGTTGATTACATGCATCATAAACAAGTTCCTGAGATAGCTTCTATGTCGCTTTTATGGGAAGATATTTCCTTTTACACCATAGGCCTGAAAGCGCTCCAAATGTCCACTTCCAGATACTACAAAATGAGTGTTTCCAACCTGCTCTATGAAACGGAAGGTTCAACTCTGTGACTTGATTGCAAACATCACGAAGGTGTTTCTGAGGATGTTTCTGTCTAGATTTTCTTTGAAGACATTACCGTTTCCAACGAAATCCTCAAAGCTAGCGAAATATCCACCTGCAGATTCTACAAAAAGAGTGTTTCAAAAGTGCTCTGTCCAAACCAAGGTTCAATTCTGACAGTTGAGTGCACACATCACAAACATGATTCTGCGAATGCTTCTGTCTAGTTTTTGTCGGAAGATATTTCCTTTTTCAGCATAGGCCCCAAGGAGCTCAAAATGTCCACTGCCAGATAGTACGAGAAGATTGTTTCAAACCTGCTCTGAGAAAGGGGAATGTTCAACTCTGTGACTTGAATGTAAACATCCCTAAGATGTTTCTTAGAATGCTTCTGGCTAGATTTTATTTGAAGATATTCCCGTTTCCAACGAAATCCTCAAAGCTTTCCAAATATCCACTTCCAGATTCTATAAAAAGAATGTTTCAGAACAGTTCTGTCAAAAGAAAGGTTCAACTCTGTTAGTGGAGAACACACATCACAATCAAGGTTCTGAGAATGCTTCTGTCTAAATTTTCTATGAAGACATTCCCGTTTCCAACGAAATCCTCACAGCTATCCAAATATCCACTTGCAGATTCTACAAAAAGTGTGGTTCAAAACTGCTGTATCAAAAGAATGGATCAACACTGTTAGTTGAGTACCCACATCACAAACTTGATTCTCAGAATGCTTCTGTCTAGTTTCTATATGTAGATATTTCCTTTTTCAGCATAGGCCTGAAAGCGCTCCAAATGCCCGCTTCCAGACACTATAAAAAGAGGGTTTCAAACCTACATTATGAAAGGGAATGTTCAACTCTGAGAGCTGGATGCAAACATCACAAAGAAGTTTCTGAGAATGCTGCTGTCTACTTTTTATATATAATCCCGTTTCCAACGAAATCCTCAAATCTATCCAAATATCCACTTGCAGATTCCAAAAGAAGAGGGTCTCAAAACTGCTCTATCAATAGAAATGTTCAGCACAGTTAGTTGTGTAGATACAGCATAAACATGTTTCTGAGATTACTTCTATCTCGCATTCATGGGAAGATATTTCCTTTTTCCAGATAGGCTACAAAGCCCTCCAAATGTCCACTTCCAGATACTACAAATAGAGTGCTGCACAACTGCTCTATGTGAGGGGAAGTTCAATTCTGTGACTTGAATGCAGACTCCACAAAGAAGTTTCTGAGAATGCTGCTGTCTAATTTTTACATGTAAACCCGTTTCCAACGAAATCCTCAAAGCTATCCAAATATCCGCATGCAATATCTTCAAAAAGAGTGTTCCAGAAGTACTGCATGAAACGAAAGGTTCAAGTCCGTTTGTTGAGGACACACATCACAAATAAGTTTCTCAGAATGCTTCTGTCTTGTTTTCATTGGAAGATATTTCCTTTTTCACCATAGTTCAGAAAGCGCTCCAAATGTCCACTTCCAGATACTCCAAAAAGAGTGTTTCAAACCTGCTCTATGAATGGGAATGTTCCACTCTGTGACTTGAATGGAAATATGGCAAAGTATTTTCTGAGTATGCTGCTGTGTACGTTTTATATTGCATCCCGTTTCCAACGAAATCCTCAAAGCGATCCAAATATCCACTTGCAGATTCCAAAAAAAGAGTGTTTCAAACTGCTCTGTCAGTACAAAGGTTCAACACTGTTAGTTGA
Source organism: Homo sapiens (assembly GCF_000001405.40). NCBI lineage: Eukaryota > Metazoa > Chordata > Mammalia > Primates > Hominidae > Homo > Homo sapiens. The sequence continues at coordinate 45,431,011 of NC_000008.11, read as the reverse complement.
TTAGAGGCATCATAAACAAGTTCCTGAGATAGCTTCTATGTCGCTTTTATGGGAAGATATTTCCTTTTACACCATAGGCCTGAAAGCGCTCCAAATGTCCACTTCTAGACACTACAAAATGAGTGTTTCCAACCTGCTCTATGAAACGGAAGGTTCAACTCTGTGACTTGATTGCAAACATCACGAAGGTGTTTCTGAGGGATGTTCTGTCTAGATTTTCTTTGAAGACATTACCGTTTCCAACGAAATCCTCAAAGCTAGCCAAATATCCACCTGCAGATCCTACAAAAAGAGTGTTTCAAAAGTGCTCTGTCCAAACAAAGGTTCAATTCTGACAGTTGAGTGCACACATCACAAACGTGATTCTGCGAATGCTTCTGTCTAGTTTTTGTCGGAAGATATTTCCTTTTTCAGCATAGGCCCCAAGGAGCTCAAAATGTCCACTGCCAGATAGTACGAGAAGATTGTTTCAAACCTGCTCTGTGAAAGGGAATGTTCAACTCTGTGACTTGAATGTAAACATCCCTAAGATGTTTCTTAGAATGCTTCTGGCTAGATTTGATTTGAAGATATTCCCGTTTCAAACGAAATCCTCAAAGCTTTCCAAATATCCACTTCCAGATTCTATAAAAAGAATGTTTCAGAACAGTTCTGTCAAAAGAAAGGTTCAACCCTGTTAGTGGAGAACACACATCACAATCAAGGTTCTGAGAATGCTTCTGTCTAAATTTTCTATGAAGACATTCCCGTTTCCAACGAAATCCTCACAGCTATCCAAATATCCACTTGCAGATTCTACAAAAAGTGTGGTTCAAAACTGCTGTATCAAAAGAATGGATCAACACTGTTAGTTGAGTACCCACATCACAAACGTGATTCTCAGAATGCTTCTGTCTAGTTTCTATAGGTAGATATTTCCTTTTTCCGCATAGGCCTGAAATCGCTCCAAATGCCCGCTTCCAGACACTATAAAAAGAGGGTTTCAAACCTACTCTATGAAAGGGAATGTTCAACTCTGAGAGCTGGATGCAAACATCACAAAGAAGTTTCTGAGAATGCTGCTGTCTACTTTTTATATATAATCCCGTTTCCAACGAAATCCTCAAATCTATCGAAATATCCACTTGCAGATTCCAAAAGAAGAGTGTCTCAAAACTGCTCTATCAATAGAAATGTTCAGCACAGTCAGTTGAGTAGATACAGCATAAACATGTTTCTGAGATTACTTCTATCTCGCATTCATGGGAAGATATTTCCTTTTTCCAGATAGGCTACAAAGCCCTCCAAATGTCCACTTCCAGATACTACAAATAGAGTGCTGCACAACTGCTCTATGTGAGGGGAAGTTCAATTCTGTGACTTGAATGCAGACACCACAAAGAAGTTTCTGAGAATGCTGCTGTCTAATTTTTACATGTAAGCCCGTTTCCAACGAAATCCTCAAAGCTATCCAAATATCCGCATGCAGAATCTTCAAAAAGAGTGTTCCAGAAGTACTGCATGAAACGAAAGGTTCAAGTCCGTTTGTTGAGGACACACATCACAAATAAGTTTCTCAGAATGCTTCTGTCTTGTTTTCATTGGAAGATATTTCCTTTTTCACCATAGTTCAGAAAGCGCTCCAAATGTCCACTTCCAGATACTCCAAAAAGAGTGTTTCCAACCTGCTCTATGAATGGGAATGTTCCACTCTGTGACTTGAATGGAAATATGGCAAAGTATTTTCTGAGTATGCTGCTGTGTACGTTTTATATTGCATCCCGTTTCCAACGAAATCCTCAAAGCGATCCAAATATCCACTTTCAGATTCCAAAAAAAGAGTGTTTCAAACTGCTCTGTCAGTACAAAGGTTCAACACTGTTAGTTGATTAGATGCATCATAAACAAGTTCCTGAGATAGCTTCTATGTCGTTTTTATGGGAAGATATTTCCTTTTTCACCATAGGCCTGAAAGCGCTCCAAATGTCCACTTCCAGATACTACAAAAAGAGTGTTTCCAACCTGCTCTATGAAACGGAAGGTTCAACTCTGTGACTTGATTGCAAACATCACGAAGGTGTTTCTGAGAATGCTTCTGTCTAGATTTTCTTTGAAGACATTCCCGTTTCCAACGAAATCCTCACAGCTATCCAAATATCCTCTTGCAGATTCTACAAAAAGTGTGGTTCAAAACTGCTGTATCAAAAGAATGGATCAACACTGTTAGTTGAGTACCCACATCACAAACGTGATTCTCAGAATGCTTCTGTCTAGTTTCTGTAGGTAGATATTTCCTATTTTAAGCATAGGCCTGAAAGCGCTCCAAATGCCCGCTTCCAGACACTATAAAAAGAGGGTTTCAAACCTACTCTATGAAAGGGAATGTTCAACTCTGAGAGCTGGATGCAAACATCACAAAGAAGTTTCTGAGAATGCTGCTGTCTACTTTTTATATATAATCCCGTTTCCAACGAAATCCTCAAATCTATCCAAATATCCACTTGCAGATTCCAAAAGAAGAGTGTCTCAAAACTGCTCTATCAATAGAAATGTTCAGCACAGTTAGTTGAGTAGATACAGCATAAACATGTTTCTGAGATTACTTCTATCTCGCATTCATGGGAAGATATTTCCTTTTTCCAGATAGGCTACAAAGCCCTCCAAATGTCCACTTCCAGATACTACAAAAAGAGTGTTTCCAACCTGCTCTATGAAACGGAAGGTTTAACTCTGTGACTTGATTGCAAACATCACGAAGTTGTTTCTGAGAATGCTTCTGTCTAGATTTTCTTTGAAGACATTACCGTTTCCAACGAAATCCTCAAAGCTAGCCAAATATCCACCTGCAGATTCTACAAAAAGAGTGTTTCAAAAGTGCTCTGTCCAAACCAAGGTTCAATTCTGACAGTTGAGTGCACACATCACAAACGTGATTCTGCGAATGCTTCTGTCTAGTTTTTGTCGGAAGATATTTCCTTTTTCAGCATAGGCCCCAAGGAGCTCAAAATGTCCACTGCCAGATAGTACGAGAAGATTGTTTCAAACCTGCTCTGTGAAAGGGAATGTTCAACTCTGTGACTTGAATGTAAACATCCCTAAGATGTTTCTTAGAATGCTTCTGGCTAGATTTGATTTGAAGATATTCCCGTTTCCAACGAAATCCTCAAAGCTTTCCAAATATCCACTTCCAGATTCTATAAAAAGAATGTTTCAGAACAGTTCTGTCAAAAGAAAGGTTCAACTCTGTTAGTGGAGAACACACATCACAATCAAGGTTCTGAGAATGCTTCTGTTTATCTTTCATATGAAGGAATACCGTTTCCAATGAAGGCATCAAAGACGTCCAAATATCCACTTGCAGATTCTACAAAAACAGTTTTTCAAAACTACTGTATCAAAAGAAATGTTCAACTCTCTTAGTTGAGTACACACATCACAAACGTGATTCTCAGAATGCTTCTGTCTAGTTTCTATGGGTAATTTCCTTTTTCAGCATAGGCCTGAAAGCGCTCCAATTGCCCGCTTCCAGACACTATAAAAAGAGGGTTTCAAACCTACTCTATGAAGGGGAATGTTCAACTCTGAGAGCTAGATGCAAACATCACAAAGAAGTTTCTGAGAATGCTGCTGTCTACTTTTGATATGTAATCCCGTTGCCAACGAAATCCTCAAATCTATCCATATATCCACTTGCAGATTCCAAAAGAAGAGTGTCTCAAAACTGCTCTATCAATAGAAAGGTTCAGCAGAGTTCGTTCAGTAGATACAGCATAAACAAGTTTCTGAGATTGCTTCTATCTCGCATTCATGGGAAGATATTTTCTTTTTCCAGATAGGCTACAAAGCCCGCCAAATATCCACTTCGAGATACTACAAATGGAGTGCTTCACAACTGCTTTATGTGAGGGAATGTTCAATTCTGTGACTTGAATGCAGACACCACAAAGAAGTTTCTGAATGCTGCTGTCTACTTTTTATATGTAATCCCGTTTACAACGAAATCCTCAAAGCCATCCAAATATCCACATGCAGAATCTTCAAAAAGAGTGTTCCAGAAGTACTGCATGAAAAGAAAGGTTCAAGTCCGTTAGTTGAGGACACACATCACAAAAAAGTTTCTGAGAATGCTTCTGTCTTGTTTTCATTGGAAGATATTTCCTTTTTCACCATAGTTCAGAAAGCGCTCCAAATGTCCACTTCCAGATACTACAAAAGGAGTGTTTCCAACCTGCTCTATGAATGGGAATGTTCCACTCTGTGACTTGAATGGAAATATGGCAAAGTATCTTCTGAGTATGCTGCTGTGTACGTTTTATATTGCACCCCGTTTCCAACGAAATCCTCAAAGCGATCCAAATATCCACTTGCAGATTCCAAAAAAAGAGTGTTTCAAACTGCTCTGTCAGTACAAAGTTCAACACTGTTAGTTGATTAGATGCATCATAAACAAGTTCCTGAGATAGCTTCTATGTCGCTTTTATGGGAAGATATTTCCTTTTACACCATAGGCCTGAAAGCGCTCCAAATGTCCACTTCCAGATACTACAAAATGAGTGTTTCCAACCTGCTCTATGAAACGGAAGGTTCAACTCTGTGACTTGATTGCAAACATCACGAAGGTGTTTCTGAGGATGTTTCTGTCTAGATTTTCTTTGAAGACATTACCGTTTCCAACGAAATCCTCAAAGCTAGCCAAATATCCACCTGCAGATTCTACAAAAAGAGTGTTTCAAAAGTGCTCTGTCCAAACCAAGGTTCAATTCTGACAGTTGAGTGCACACATCACAAACGTGATTCTGCGAATGCTTCTGTCTAGTTTTTGTCGGAAGATATTTCCTTTTTCAGCATAGGCCCCAAGGAGCTCAAAATGTCCACTGCCAGATAGTACGAGAAGATTGTTTCAAACCTGCTCTGTGAAAGGGAATGTTCAACTCTGTGACTTGAATGTAAACATCCCTAAGATGTTTCTTAGAATGCTTCTGGCTAGATTTGATTTGAAGATATTCCCGTTTCAAACGAAGTCCTCAAAGCTTTCCAAATATGCACTTCCAGATTCTATAAAAAGAATGTTTCAGAACAGTTCTGTCAAAAGAAAGGTTCAACTCTGTTAGTGGAGAACACACATCACAATCAAGGTTCTGAGAATGCTTCTGTCTAAATTTTCTATGAAGACATTCCCGTTTCCAACGAAATCCTCACAGCTATCCAAATATCCACTTGCAGATTCTACAAAAAGTGTGGTTCAAAACTGCTGTATCAAAAGAATGGATCAACACTGTTAGTTGAGTACCCACATCACAAACGTGATTCTCAGAATGCTTCTGTCTAGTTTCTATAGGTAGATATTTCCTTTTTCAGCATAGGCCTGAAAGCGCTCCAAATGCCCGCTTCCAGACACTATAAAAAGAGGGTTTCAAACCTACTCTATGAAAGGGAATGTTCAACTCTGAGAGCTGGATGCAAACATCACAAAGAAGTTTCTGAGAATGCTGCTGTCTACTTTTTATATATAATCCCGTTTCCAACGAAATCCTCAAATCTATCCAAATATCCACTTGCAGATTCCAAAAGAAGAGTGTCTCAAAACTGCTCTATCAATAGAAATGTTCAGCACAGTTAGTTGAGTAGATACAGCATAAACATGTTTCTGAGATTACTTCTATCTCGCATTCATGGGAAGATATTTCCTTTTTCCACATAGGCTACAAAGCCCTCCAAATGTCCACTTCGAGATACTACAAATAGAGTGCTGCACAACTGCTCTATGTGAGGGGATGTTCAATTCTGTGACTTGAATGCAGACACCACAAAGAAGTTTCTGAGAATGCTGCTGTCTAATTTTTACATGTAAGCCCGTTTCCAACGAAATCCTCAAAGCTATCCAAATATCCGCATGCAGAATCTTCAAAAAGAGTGTTCCAGAAGTACTGCATGAAACGAAAGGTTCAAGTCCGTTTGTTGAGGACACACATCACAAATAAGTTTCTCAGAATGCTTCTGTCTTGTTTTCATTGGAACATATTTCCCTTTTCACCATAGTTCAGAAAGCGCTCCAAATGTCCACTTCCAGATACTCCAAAAAGAGTGTTTCAAACCTGCTCTATGAATGGGAATGTTCCACTCTGTGACTTGAATGGAAATATGGCAAAATATTTTCTGAGTATGCTGCTGTGTACGTTTTATATTGCATCCCGTTTCCAACGAAATCCTCAAAGCGATCCAAATATCCACTTGCAGATTCCAAAAAAAGAGTGTTTCAAACTGCTCTGTCAGTACAAAGGTTCAACACTGTTAGTTGATTGGAGGCATCATAAACAAGTTCCTGAGATAGCTTCTATGTCGTTTTTATGGGAAGATATTTCCTTTTTCACAATAGGACTGAAAGCGCTCCAAATGTCCACTTCCAGATACTACAATAAGAGTGTTTCCAACCTGCTCTATGAAACGGAAGGTTCAACTCTGTGACTTGATTGCAAACATCACGAAGGTGTTTCTGAGAATGCTTCTGTCTAGATTTTCTTTGAAGACATTCCCGTTTCCAACGAAATCCTCACAGCTATCCAAATATCCTCTTGCAGATTCTACAAAAAGTGTGGTTCAAAACTGCTGTATCAAAAGAATGGATCAACACTGTTAGTTGAGTACCCACATCACAAACGTGATTCTCAGAATGCTTCTGTCTAGTTTCTGTAGGTAGATATTTCCTATTTTAAGCATAGGCCTGAAAGCGCTCCAAATGCCCGCTTCCAGACACTATAAAAAGAGGGTTTCAAACCTACTCTATGAAAGGGAATGTTCAACTCTGAGAGCTGGATGCAAACATCACAAAGAAGTTTCTGAGAATGCTGCTGTCTACTTTTTATATATAATCCCGTTTCCAACGAAATCCTCAAATCTATCCAAATATCCACTTGCAGATTCCAAAATAAGAGTGTCTCAAAACTGCTCTATCAATAGAAATGTTCAGCACAGTTAGTTGAGTAGATACAGCATAAACATGTTTCTGAGATTACTTCTATCTCGCATTCATGGGAAGATATTTCCTTTTTCCAGATAGGCTACAAAGCCCTCCAAATGTCCACTTCCAGATACTACAAATAGAGTGCTGCACAACTGCTCTATGTGAGGGGAAGTTCAATTCTGTGACTTGAATGCAGACACCACAAAGAAGTTTCTGAGAATGCTGCTGTCTAATTTTTACATGTAAGCCCGTTTCCAACGAAATCCTCAAAGCTATCCAAATATCCGCATGCAGAATCTTCAAAAAGAGTGTTCCAGAAGTACTGCATGAAACGAAAGGTTCAAGTCCGTTTGTTGAGGACACACATCACAAATAAGTTTCTCAGAATGCTTCTGTCTTGTTTTCATTGGAAGATATTTCCTTTTTCACCATAGTTCAGAAAGCGCTCCAAATGTCCACTTCCAGATACTCCAAAAAGAGTGTTTCCAACCTGCTCTATGAATGGGAATGTTCCACTCTGTGACTTGAATGGAAATATGGCAAAGTATTTTCTGAGTATGCTGCTGTGTACGTTTTATATTGCATCCCGTTTCCAACGAAATCCTCAAAGCGATCCAAATATCCACTTGCAGATTCCAAAAAAAGAGTGTTTCAAACTGCTCTGTCAGTACAAAGGTTCAACACTGTTAGTTGATTAGATGCCTCATAAACAAGTTCCTGAGATAGCTTCTATGTCGTTTTTATGGGAAGATATTTCCTTTTTCACCATAGGCCTGAAAGCGCTCCAAATGTCCACTTCCAGATACTACAATAAGAGTGTTTCCAACCTGCTCTATGAAACGGAAGGTTCAACTCTGTGACTTGATTGCAAACATCACGAAGGTGTTTCTGAGAATGTTTCTGTCTAGATTTTCTTTGAAGACATTCCCGTTTCCAACGAAATCCTCACAGCTATCCAAATATCCTCTTGCAGATTCTACAAAAAGTGTGGTTCAAAACTGCTGTATCAAAAGAATGGATCAACACTGTTAGTTGAGTACCCACATCACAAACGAGATTCTCAGAATGCTTCTGTCTAGTTTCTGTAGGTAGATATTTCCTTTTTCAGCTTAGGCCTCAAAGCACTGCAAATGCCCGCTTCCAGACACTATAAAAAGGGGGTTTCAAACCTACTCTATGAAACGGAATGTTCAACTCTGAGAGCTGGATGCAAACATCACAAAGAAGTTTCTGAGAATGCTGCTGTCTACTTTTTATATATAATCCCGTTGCCAACGAAATCCTCAAATCTTTCCAAATATCCACTTGCAGATTCCAAAAGAAGAGTGTCTCAAAACTGCTCTATCAATAGAAATGTTCAGCACAGTTAGTTGAGTAGATACAGCATAAACATGTTTCTGAGATTACTTCTATCTCGCATTCTTGGGAAGATATTTCCTTTTTCCAGATAGGCTACAAAGCCCTCCAAATGTCCACTTCGAGATACTACAAATAGAGTGCTGCACAACTGCTCTATGTGAGGGGATGTTCAATTCTGTGACTTGGATGCAGACACCACAGAGAAGTTTCTGAGAATGCTGCTGTCTAATTTTTATATGTAAGCCCGTTTCCAACGAAATCCTCAAAGCTATCCAAATATCCGCATGCAGAATCTTCAAAAAGAGTGTTCCAGAAGTACTGCATGAAACGAAAGGTTCAAGTCCGTTAGTTGAGGACACACATCACAAATAAGTTTCTCAGAATGCTTCTGTCTTGTTTTCATTGGAAGATATTTCCTTTTTCACCATAGTTCAGAAAGCGCTCCAAATGTCCACTTCCAGATACTACAAAAAGAGTGTGTCAAACCTGCTCTATGAATGGGAATGTTCCACTCTGTGACTTGAATGGAAATATGGCAAAGTATTTTCTGAGTATGCTGCTGTGTACGTTTTATATTGCATCCCGTTTCCAACGAAATCCTCAAAGCGATCCAAATATCCACTTGCAGATTCCAAAAAAAGAGTGTTTCAAACTGCTCTGTCAGTACAAAGGTTCAACACTGTTAGTTGATTAGAGGCATCATAAACAAGTTCCTGAGATAGCTTCTATGTCGCTTTTATGGGAAGATATTTCCTTTTACACCATAGGCCTGAAAGCGCTCCAAATGTCCACTTCCAGATACTACAAAATGAGTGTTTCCAACCTGCTCTATGAAACGGAAGGTTCAACTCTGTGACTTGATTGCAAACATCACGAAGGTGTTTCTGAGGATGTTTCTGTCTAGATTTTCTTTGAAGACATTACCGTTTCCAACGAAATCCTCAAAGCTAGCCAAATATCCACCTGCAGATTCTACAAAAAGAGTGTTTCAAAAGTGCTCTGTCCAAACCAAGGTTCAATTCTGACAGTTGAGTGCACACATCACAAACGTGATTCTGCGAATGCTTCTGTCTAGTTTTTGTCGGAAGATATTTCCTTTTTCAGCATAGGCCCCAAGGAGCTCAAAATGTCCACTGCCAGATAGTACGAGAAGATTGTTTCAAACCTGCTCTGTGAAAGGGAATGTTCAACTCTGTGACTTGAATGTAAACATCCCTAAGATGTTTCTTAGAATGCTTCTGGCTAGATTTGATTTGAAGATATTCCCGTTTCCAACGAAATCCTCAAAGCTTTCCAAATATCCACTTCCAGATTCTATAAAAAGAATGTTTCAGAACAGTTCTGTCAAAAGAAAGGTTCAACTCTGTTAGTGGAGAACACACATCACAATCAAGGTTCTGAGAATGCTTCTGTCTAAATTTTCTATGAAGACATTCCCGTTTCCAACGAAATCCTCACAGCTATCCAAATATCCACTTGCAGATTCTACAAAAAGTGTGGTTCAAAACTGCTGTATCAAAAGAATGGATCAACACTGTTAGTTGAGTACCCACATCACAAACGTGATTCTCAGAATGCTTCTGTCTAGTTTCTGTAGGTAGATATTTCCTATTTTAAGCATAGGCCTGAAAGCGCTCCAAATGCCCGCTTCCAGACACTATAAAAAGAGGGTTTCAAACCTACTCTATGAAAGGGAATGTTCAACTCTGAGAGCTGGATGCAAACATCACAAAGAAGTTTCTGAGAATGCTGCTGTCTACTTTTTATATATAATCCCGTTTCCAACGAAATCCTCAAATCTATCCAAATATCCACTTGCAGATTCCAAAAGAAGAGTGTCTCAAAACTGCTCTATCAATAGAAATGTTCAGCACAGTTAGTTGAGTAGATACAGCATAAACATGTTTCTGAGATTACTTCTATCTCGCATTCATGGGAAGATATTTCCTTTTTCCAGATAGGCTACAAAGCCCTCCAAATGTCCACTTCCAGATACTACAAATAGAGTGCTGCACAACTGCTCTATGTGAGGGGAAGTTCAATTCTGTGACTTGAATGCAGACACCACAAAGAAGTTTCTGAGAATGCTGCTGTCTAATTTTTACATGTAAGCCCGTTTCCAACGAAATCCTCAAAGCTATCCAAATATCCGCATGCAGAATCTTCAAAAAGAGTGTTCCAGAAGTACTGCATGAAACGAAAGGTTCAAGTCCGTTTGTTGAGGACACACATCACAAATAAGTTTCTCAGAATGCTTGTGTCTTGTATTCATTGGAAGATATTTCCTTTTTCACCATAGTTCAGAAAGCGCTCCAAATGTCCACTTCCAGATACTCCAAAAAGAGTGTTTCCAACCTGCTCTATGAATGGGAATGTTCCACTCTGTGACTTGAATGGAAATATGGCAAAGTATTTTCTGGGTATGCTGCTGTGTACGTTTTATATTGCATCCCGTTTCCAACGAAATCCTCAAAGTGATCCAAATATCCACTTGCAGATTCCAAAAAAAGAGTGTTTCAAAGTGCTCTGTCAGTACAAAGGTTCAACACTGTTAGTTGATTAGATGCATCATAAACAAGTTCCTGAGATAGCTTCTATGTCGTTTTTATGGGAAGATATTTCCTTTTTCACCATAGGCCTGAAAGCGCTCCAAATGTCCACTTCCAGATACTACAATAAGAGTGTTTCCAACCTGCTCTATGAAACGGAAGGTTCAACTCTGTGACTTGATTGCAAACATCACGAAGGTGTTTCTGAGAATGTTTCTGTCTAGATTTTCTTTGAAGACATTCCCGTTTCCAACGAAATCCTCACAGCTATCCAAATATCCTCTTGCAGATTCTACAAAAAGTGTGGTTCAAAACTGCTGTATCAAAAGAATGGATCAACACTGTTAGTTGAGTACCCACATCACAAACGTGATTCTCAGAATGCTTCTGTCTAGTTTCTATAGGTAGATATTTCCTTTTTCAGCATAGGCCTGAAAGCGCTCCAAATGCCCGCCTTCCAGACACTATAAAAAGAGGGTTTCAAACCTACTCTATGAAAGGGAATGTTCAACTCTGAGAGCTGGATGCAAACATCACAAAGAAGTTTCTGAGAATGCTGCTGTCTACTTTTTATATATAATCCCGTTTCCAACGAAATCCTCAAATCTATCCAAATATCCACTTGCAGATTCCAAAAGAAGAGTGTCTCAAAACTGCTCTATCAATAGAAATGTTCAGCACAGTTAGTTGAGTAGATACAGCATAAACATGTTTCTGAGATTACTTCTATCTCGCATTCATGGGAAGATATTTCCTTTTTCCAGATAGGCTACAAAGCCCTCCAAATGTCCACTTCCAGATACTACAAATAGAGTGCTGCACAACTGCTCTATGTGAGGGGAAGTTCAATTCTGTGACTTGAATGCAGACACCACAAAGAAGTTTCTGAGAATGCTGCTGTCTAATTTTTACATGTAAGCCCGTTTCCAACGAAATCCTCAAAGCTATCCAAATATCCGCATGCAGAATCTTCAAAAAGAGTGTTCCAGAAGTACTGCATGAAACGAAAGGTTCAAGTCCGTTTGTTGAGGACACACATCACAAATAAGTTTCTCAGAATGCTTCTGTCTTGTTTTCATTCGAAGATATTTCCTTTTTCACCATAGTTCAGAAAGCGCTCCAAATGTCCACTTCCAGATACTACAAAAGGAGTGTTTCCAACCTGCTCTATGAATGGGAATGTTCCACTCTGTGACTTGAATGGAAATATGGCAAAGTATTTTCTGAGTATGCTGCTGTGTACGTTTTATATTGCATCCCGTTTCCAACGAAATCCTCAAAGCGTTCCTAATATCCACTTGCAGATTCCAAAAAAAAGAGTGTTTCACACTGCTCTGTCAGTACAAAAGTTCAACACTGTTAGTTGATTGGATGCATCATAAACAAGTTCCTGAGATAGCTTCTATGTCGTTTTTATTGGAAGATATTTCCTTTTTCACCATAGGCCTGAAAGCGCTCCAAATGTCCACTTCCAGATACTACAAAAAGAGTGTTTGCAACCTGCTCTATGAAACGGAAGGTTCAACTCTGTGACTTGATTGCAAACATCACGAAGGTGTTTCTGAGAATGTTTCTGTCTAGATTTTCTTTGAAGACATTACCGTTTCCAACGAAATCCTCAAAGCTAGCCAAATATCCACCTGCAGATTCTACAAAAAGAGTGTTTCAAAAGTGCTCTGTCCAAACCAAGGTTCAATTCTGACAGTTGAGTGCACACATCACAAACGTGATTCTGCGAATGCTTCTGTCTAGTTTTTGTCGGAAGATATTTCCTTTTTCAGCATAGGCCCCAAGGAGCTCAAAATGTCCACTGCCAGATAGTACGAGAAGATTGTTTCAAACCTGCTCTGTGAAAGGGAATGTTCAACTCTGTGACTTGAATGTAAACATCCCTAAGATGTTTCTTGGAATGCTTCTGGCTAGATTTGATTTGAAGATATTCCCGTTTCCAACGAAATCCTCAAAGCTTTCCAAATATCCACTTCCAGATTCTATAAAAAGAATGTTTCAGAACAGTTCTGTCAAAAGAAAGGTTCAACTCTGTTAGTGGAGAACACACATCACAATCAAGGTTCTGAGAATGCTTCTGTCTGAATTTTCTATGAAGACATTCCCGTTTCCAACGAAATCCTCACAGCTATCCAAATATCCACTTGCAGATTCTACAAAAAGTGTGGTTCAAAACTGCTGTATCAAAAGAATGGATCAACACTGTTAGTTGAGTACCCACATCACAAACGTGATTCTCAGAATGCTTCTGTCTAGTTTCTATAGGTAGATATTTCCTTTTTCAGCATAGGCCTGAAAGCGCTCCAAATGCCCGCTTCCAGACACTATAAAAAGAGGGTTTCAAAACTACTCTATGAAAGGGAATGTTCAACTCTGGGAGCTAGATGCAAACATCACAAAGAAGTTTCTGAGAATGCTGCTGTCTACTTTTTATATATAATCCCGTTTCCAACGAAATCCTCAAATCTATCCAAATATCCACTTGCAGATTCCAAAAGAAGAGTGTCTCAAAACTGCTCTATCAATAGAAATGTTCAGCACAGTTAGTTGAGTAGATACAGCATAAACATGTTTCTGAGATTACTTCTATCTCGCATTCATGGGAAGATATTTCCTTTTTCCAGATAGGCTACAAAGCCCTCCAAATGTCCACTTCGAGATACTACAAATAGAGTGCTGCACAACTGCTCTATGTGAGGGGAAGTTCAATTCTGTGACTTGAATGCAGACACCACAAAGAAGTTTCTGAGAATTCTGCTGTCTAATTTTTATATGTAAGCCCGTTTCCAACGAAATCCTCAAAGCTATCCAAATATCCGCATGCAGAATCTTCAAAAAGAGTGTTCCAGAAGTACTGCATGAAACGAAAGGTTCAAGTCCGTTAGTTGAGGACACACATCACAAATAAGTTTCTCAGAATGCTTCTGTCTTGTTTTCATTGGAAGATATTTCCTTTTTCACCATAGTTCAGAAAGCGCTCCAAATGTCCACTTCCAGATACTCCAAAAAGAGTGTTTCCAACCTGCTCTATGAATGGGAATGTTCCACTCTGTGACTTGAATGGAAATATGGCAAAGTATTTTCTGAGTATGCTGCTGTGTACGTTTTATATTGCATCCCGTTTCCAACGAAATCCTCAAAGCGATCCAAATATCCACTTGCAGATTCCAAAAAAAAGAGTGTTTCACACTGCTCTGTCAGTACAAAGGTTCAACACTGTTAGTTGATTGGATGCATCATAAACAAGTTCCTGAGATAGCTTCTATGTCGTTTTTATGGGAAGATATTTCCTTCTTCACCATAGGCCTGAAAGCGCTCCAAATGTCCACTTCCAGATACTACAAAAAGAGTGTTTCCAACCTGCTCTATGAAACGGAAGGTTCAACTCTGTGACTTGATTGCAAACATCACGAAGGTGTTTCTGAGAATGTTTCTGTCTAGATTTTCTTTGAAGACATTACCATTTCCAACGAAATCCTCAAAGCTAGTCAAATATCCACCTGCAGATTCTACAAAAAGAGTGTTTCAAAAGTGCTCTGTCCAAACAAAGGTTCATTTCTGACAGTTGAGTGCACACATCACAAACGTGATTCTGCGAATGCTTCTGTCTAGTTTTTGTCGGAAGATATTTCCTTTTTCAGCATAGGCCCCAAGGAGCTCAAAATGTCCACTGCCAGATAGTACGAGAAGATTGTTTCAAACCTGCTCTGAGAAAGGGGAATGTTCAACTCTGTGACTTGAATGTAAACATCCCTAAGATGTTTCTTAGAATGCTTCTGGCTAGATTTTATTTGAAGATATTCCCGTTTCCAACGAAATCCTCAAAGCTTTCCAACTATCCACTTCCAGATTCTATAAAAAGAATGTTTCAAAACAGTTCTGTCCAAAGAAAGGTTCAACTCTGTTAGTGGAGAACACACATCACAATCCAGGTTCTGAGAATGCTTCTGTCTAAATTTTCTATGAAGACATTCCCGTTTCCAACGAAATCCTCACAGCTATCCAAATATCCACTTGCAGATTCTACAAAAAGGGTGGTTCCAAACTGCTGTATCAAAAGAATGGATCAACACTGTTAGTTGAGGACCCACATCACAAACGTGATTCTCAGAATGCTTCTGTCTAGTTTCTGTAGGTAGATATTTCCTTTTTCAGCATAGGCCTGAAAGCGCTCCACATGCCCGCTTCCAGACACTATAAAAAGAGGGTTTCAAACCTACTCTATGAAAGGGAATGTTCAACTCTGAGAGCTGGATGCAAACATCACAAAGAAGTTTCTGAGAATGCTGCTGTCTACTTTTGATATATAATCCCGTTTCCAACGAAATCCTCAAATCTATCCAAATATCCACTTGCAGATTCCAAAAGAAGAGTGTCTCAAAACTGCTCTATCAATAGAAATGTTCAGCACAGTTAGTTGAGTAGATACAGCATAAACATGTTTCTGAGATTACTTCTATCTCGCATTCATGGGAAGATATTTCCTTTTTCCAGATAGGCTACAAAGCCCTCCAAATGTCCACTTCCAGATACTACAAAAAGAGTGTTTCAAACCTGCTCTATGAAACGGAAGGTTCAACTCTGTGACTTGATTGCAAACATCACGAAGGTGTTTCTGAGAATGCTTCTGTCTAGATTTTCTTTGAAGACATTACCGTTTCCAACGAAATCCTCAAAGCTAGCCAAATATCCACCTGCAGATTCTACAAAAAGAGTGTTTCAAAAGTGCTCTGTCCAAACCAAGGTTCAATTCTGACAGTTGAGTGCACACATCACAAACGTGATTCTGCGAATGCTTCTGTCTAGTTTTTGTCGGAAGATATTTCCTTTTTCAGCATAGGCCCCAAGGAGCTCAAAATGTCCACTGCCAGATAGTACGAGAAGATTGTTTCAAACCTGCTCTGTGAAAGGGAATGTTCAACTCTGTGACTTGAATGTAAACATCCCTAAGATGTTTCTTAGAATGCTTCTGGCTAGATTTGATTTGAAGATATTCCCGTTTCCAACGAAATCCTCAAAGCTTTCCAAATATCCACTTCCAGATTCTATAAAAAGAATGTTTCAAAACAGTTCTGTCAAAAGAAAGGTTCAACCCTGTTAGTGGAGAACACACATCACAATCAAGGTTCTGAGAATGCTTCTGTCTAAATTTTCTATGAAGACATTCCCGTTTCCAAGGAAATCCTCACAGCTATCCAAATATCCACTTGCAGATTCTACAAAAAGTGTGGTTCAAAACTGCTGTATCAAAAGAATGGATCAACACTGTTAGTTGAGTACCCACATCACAAACGTGATTCTCAGAATGCTTCTGTCTAGTTTCTATAGGTAGATATTTCCTTTTTCAGCATAGGCCTGAAAGCGCTCCAAATGCCTGCTTCCAGACACTATAAAAAGAGGGTTTCAAACCTACTCCACGAAAGGGAATGTTCAACTCTGAGAGCTGGATGCAAAACTCACAAAGAAGTTTCTGAGAATGCTGCTGTCTACTTTTGATATATATTCCCGTTTCCAAGGAAATCCTCAAATCTATCCAAATATCCACTTGCAGATTCCAACAGGAGAGTGTCTCAAAACTGCTCTATCAATAGAAATGTTCAGCACAGTTAGTTGAGTAGATACAGCATAAACATGTTTCTGAGATTGCTTCTATCTCGCATTCATGGGAAGATATTTCCTTTTTCCAGATAGGCTACAAAGCCCTCCAAATGTCCACTTCCAGATACTACAAAAAGAGTGTTTCCAACCTGCTCTATGAAACGGAAGGTTCAACTCTGTGACTTGATTGCAAACATCACGAAGGTGTTTCTGAGAATGCTTCTGTGTAGATTTTCTTTGAAGACATTACCGTTTCCAACGAAATCCTCAAAGCTAGCCAAATATCCACCTGCAGATTCTACAAAAAGAGTGTTTCAAAAGTGCTCTGTCCAAACCAAGGTTCAATTCTGACAGTTGAGTGCACACATCACAAACGTGATTCTGCGAATGCTTCTGTCTAGTTTTTGTCGGAAGATATTTCCTTTTTCAGCATAGGCCCCAAGGAGCTCAAAATGTCCACTGCCAGATAGTACGAGAAGATTGTTTCAAACCTGCTCTGTGAAAGGGAATGTTCAACTCTGTGACTTGAATGTAAACATCCCTAAGATGTTTCTTAGAATGCTTCTGGCTAGATTTTATTTGAAGATATTCCCGTTTCCAACGAAATCCTCAAAGCTTTCCAAATATCCACTTCCAGATTCTATAAAAAGAATGTTTCATAACAGTTCTGTCAAAAGAAAGGTTCAACTCTGTTAGTGGAGAACACACATCACAATCAAGGTTCCGAGAATGCTTCTGTCTAAATTTTCTATGAAGACATTCCCGTTTCCAACGAAATCCTCACAGCTATCCAAATATCCACTTGCAGATTCTACAAAAAGTGTGGTTCAAAACTGCTGTATCAAAAGAATGGATCAACACTGTTAGTTGAGTACCCACATCACAAACGTGATTCTCAGAATGCTTCTGTCTAGTTTCTGTAGGTAGATATTTCCTATTTTAAGCATAGGCCTGAAAGCGCTCCAAATGCCCGCTTCCAGACACTATAAAAAGAGGGTTTCAAACCTACTCTATGAAAGGGAATGTTCAACTCTGAGAGCTGGATGCAAACATCACAAAGAAGTTTCTGAGAATGCTGCTGTCTACTTTTGATATATAATCCCGTTTCCAACGAAATCCTCAAATCTATCCAAATATCCACTTGCAGATTCCTAAAGAAGAGTGTCTCAAAACTGCTCTATCAATAGAAATGTTCAGCACAGGTAGTTGAGTAGATACAGCATAAACATGTTTCTGAGATTACTTCTATCTCGCATTCATGGGAAGATATTTCCTTTTTCCAGATAGGCTACAAAGCCCTCCAAATGTCCACTTCGAGATACTACAAATAGAGTGCTGCACAACTGCTCTATGTGAGGGGAAGTTCAATTCTGTGACTTGAATGCAGACACCACAAAGAAAGTTTCTGAGAATGCTGCTGTCTAATTTTTACATGTAAGCCCGTTTCCAACGAAATCCTCAAAGCTATCCAAATATCCGCATGCAGAATCTTCAAAAAGAGTGTTCCAGAAGTACTGCATGAAACGAAAGGTTCAAGTCCGTTTGTTGAGGACACACATCACAAATAAGTTTCTCAGAATGCTTCTGTCTTGTTTTCATTGGAAGATATTTCCTTTTTCACCATAGTTCAGAAAGCGCTCCAAATGTCCACTTCCAGATACTCCAAAAAGAGTGTTTCAAACCTGCTCTATGAATGGGAATGTTCCACTCTGTGACTTGAATGGAAATATGGCAAAGTATTTTCTGAGTATGCTGCTGTGTACGTTTTATATTGCATCCCGTTTCCAACGAAATCCTCAAAGCGATCCAAATATCCACTTGCAGATTCCAAAAAAAGAGTGTTTCAAACTGCTCTGTCAGTACAAAGGTTCAACACTGTTAGTTGATTAGATGCATCATAAACAAGTTCCTGAGATAGCTTCTATGTCGTTTTTATGGGAAGATATTTCCTTTTTCACCATAGGCCTGAAAGCGCTCCAAATGTCCACTTCCAGATACTACAATAAGAGTGTTTCCAACCTGCTCTATGAAACGAAAGGTTCAACTCTGTGACTTGATTGCAAACATCACGAAGGTGTTTCTGAGAATGCTTCTGTCTAGATTTTCTTTGAAGACATTCCCGTTTCCAACGAAATCCTCACAGCTATCCAAATATCCTCTTGCAGATTCTACAAAAAGTGTGGTTCAAAACTGCTGTATCAAAAGAATGGATCAACACTGTTAGTTGAGTACCCACATCACAAACGTGATTCTCAGAATGCTTCTGTCTAGTTTCTGTAGGTAGATATTTCCTATTTTAAGCATAGGCCTGAAAGCGCTCCAAATGCCCGCTTCCAGACACTATAAAAAGAGGGTTTCAAACCTACTCTATGAAAGGGA
This sequence comes from Homo sapiens, assembly GCF_000001405.40. Lineage (NCBI taxonomy): Eukaryota > Metazoa > Chordata > Mammalia > Primates > Hominidae > Homo > Homo sapiens. The sequence continues at coordinate 45,412,177 of NC_000008.11, read as the reverse complement.
ATGTTCAACTCTGAGAGCTGGATGCAAACATCACAAAGAAGTTTCTGAGAATGCTGCTGTCTACTTTTTATATATAATCCCGTTTCCAACGAAATCCTCAAATCTATCCAAATATCCACTTGCAGATTCCAAAAGAAGAGGGTCTCAAAACTGCTCTATCAATAGAAATGTTCAGCACAGTTAGTTGAGTAGATACAGCATAAACATGTTTCTGAGATTACTTCTATCTCGCATTCATGGGAAGATATTTCCTTTTTCCAGATAGGCTACAAAGCCCTCCAAATGTCCACTTCCAGATACTACAAATAGAGTGCTGCACAACTGCTCTATGTGAGGGGAAGTTCAATTCTGTGACTTGAATGCAGACACCACAAAGAAGTTTCTGAGAATGCTGCTGTCTAATTTTTACATGTAAGCCCGTTTCCAACGAAATCCTCAAAGCTATCCAAATATCCGCATGCAGAATCTTCAAAAAGAGTGTTCCAGAAGTACTGCATGAAACGAAAGGTTCAAGTCCGTTTGTTGAGGACACACATCACAAATAAGTTTCTCAGAATGCTTCTGTCTTGTTTTCATTGGAAGATATTTCCTTTTTCACCATAGTTCAGAAAGCGCTCCAAATGTCCACTTCCAGATACTCCAAAAAGAGTGTTTCCAACCTGCTCTATGAATGGGAATGTTCCACTCTGTGACTTGAATGGAAATATGGCAAAGTATTTTCTGAGTATGCTGCTGTGTACGTTTTATATTGCATCCCGTTTCCAACGAAATCCTCAAAGCGATCCAAATATCCACTTGCAGATTCCAAAAAAAGAGTGTTTCAAACTGCTCTGTCAGTACAAAGGTTCAACACTGTTAGTTGATTAGATGCCTCATAAACAAGTTCCTGAGATAGCTTCTATGTCGTTTTTATGGGAAGATATTTCCTTTTTCACCATAGGCCTGAAAGCGCTCCAAATGTCCACTTCCAGATACTACAATAAGAGTGTTTCCAACCTGCTCTATGAAACGGAAGGTTCAACTCTGTGACTTGATTGCAAACATCACGAAGGTGTTTCTGAGAATGCTTCTGTCTAGATTTTCTTTGAAGACATTCCCGTTTCCAACGAAATCCTCACAGCTATCCAAATATCCTCTTGCAGATTCTACAAAAAGTGTGGTTCAAAACTGCTGTATCAAAAGAATGGATCAACACTGTTAGTTGAGTACCCACATCACAAACGAGATTCTCAGAATGCTTCTGTCTAGTTTCTGTAGGTAGATATTTCCTATTTTAAGCATAGGCCTGAAAGCGCTCCAAATGCCCGCTTCCAGACACTATAAAAAGAGGGTTTCAAACCTACTCTATGAAAGGGAATGTTCAACTCTGAGAGCTGGATGCAAACATCACAAAGAAGTTTCTGAGAATGCTGCTGTCTACTTTTTATATATAATCCCGTTTCCAACGAAATCCTCAAATCTATCCAAATATCCACTTGCAGATTCCAAAAGAAGAGTGTCTCAAAACTGCTCTATCAATAGAAATGTTCAGCACAGTTAGTTGAGTAGATACAGCATAAACATGTTTCTGAGATTACTTCTATCTCGCATTCATGGGAAGATATTTCCTTTTTCCAGATAGGCTACAAAGCCCTCCAAATGTCCACTTCCAGATACTACAAATAGAGTGCTGCACAACTGCTCTATGTGAGGGGAAGTTCAATTCTGTGACTTGAATGCAGACACCACAAAGAAGTTTCTGAGAATTCTGCTGTCTAATTTTTACATGTAAGCCCGTTTCCAACGAAATCCTCAAAGCTATGCAAATATCCGCATGCAGAATCTTCAAAAAGAGTGTTCCAGAAGTACTGCATGAAACGAAAGGTTCAAGTCCGTTTGTTGAGGACACACATCACAAATAAGTTTCTCAGAATGCTTCTGTCTTGTTTTCATTGGAAGATATTTCCTTTTTCACCATAGTTCAGAAAGCGCTCCAAATGTCCACTTCCAGATACTCCAAAAAGAGTGTTTCCAACCTGCTCTATGAATGGGAATGTTCCACTCTCTGACTTGAATGGAAATATGGCAAAGTATTTTCTGAGTATGCTGCTGTGTACGTTTTATATTGCATCCCGTTTCCAACGAAATCCTCAAAGCGATCCAAATATCCACTTGCAGATTCCAAAAAAAGAGTGTTTCAAACTGCTCTGTCAGTACAAAGGTTCAACACTGTTAGTTGATTAGATGCATCATAAACAAGTTCCTGAGATAGCTTCTATGTCGTTTTTATGGGAAGATATTTCCTTTTTCACCATAGGCCTGAAAGCGCTCCAAATGTCCACTTCCAGATACTACAATAAGAGTGTTTCCAACCTGCTCTATGAAACGGAAGGTTCAACTCTGTGACTTGATTGCAAACATCACGAAGGTGTTTCTGAGAATGCTTCTGTCTAGATTTTCTTTGAAGACATTACCGTTTCCAACGAAATCCTCAAAGCTAGCCAAATATCCACCTGCAGATTCTACAAAAAGAGTGTTTCAAAAGTGCTCTGTCCAAACCAAGGTTCAATTCTGACAGTTGAGTGCACACATCACAAACGTGATTCTGCGAATGCTTCTGTCTAGTTTTTGTCGGAAGAATATTTCCTTTTTCAGCATAGGCCCCAAGGAGCTCAAAATGTCCACTGCCAGATAGTACGAGAAGATTGTTTCAAACCTGCTCTGAGAAAGGGGAATGTTCAACTCTGTGACTTGAATGTAAACATCCCTAAGATGTTTCTTAGAATGCTTCTGGCTAGATTTGATTTGAAGATATTCCCGTTTCCAACGAAATCCTCAAAGCTTTCCAAATATCCACTTCCAGATTCTATAAAAAGAATGTTTCAGAACAGTTCTGTCAAAAGAAAGGTTCAACTCTGTTAGTGGAGAACACACATCACAATCAAGGTTCTGAGAATGCTTCTGTCTAAATTTTCTATGAAGACATTCCCGTTTCCAACGAAATCTTCACAGCTATCCAAATATCCACTTGCAGATTCTACAAAAAGTGTGGTTCAAAACTGCTGTATCAAAAGAATGGATCAACACTGTTAGTTGAGTACCCACATCACAAACGTGATTCTCAGAATGCTTCTGTCTAGTTTCTATAGGTAGATATTTCCTTTTTCAGCATAGGCCTGAAAGCGCTCCAAATGCCCGCTTCCAGACACTATAAAAAGAGGGTTTCAAACCTACTCTATGAAAGGGAATGTTCAACTCTGAGAGCTGGATGCAAACATCACAAAGAAGTTTCTGAGAATGCTGCTGTGTACTTTTTATACATAATCCCGTTTCCAACGAAATCCTCAAATCTATCCAAATATCCACTTGCAGATTCCAAAAGAAGAGTGTCTCAAAACTGCTCTATCAATAGAAATGTTCAGCACAGTTAGTTGATTAGATGCATCATAAACAAGTTCCTGAGATAGCTTCTATGTCGTTTTTATGGGAAGATATTTCCTTTTTCACCATAGGCCTGAAAGCGCTCAAAAGGTCCACTTCCAGATACTACAAAAAGAGTGTTTCCAACCTGCTCTATGAAACGGAAGGTTCAACTCTGTGACTTGATTGCAAACATCACGAAGGTGTTTCTGAGAATGCTTCTGTCTAGATTTTCTTTGAAGACATTACCGTTTCCAACGAAATCCTCAAAGCTAGCCAAATATCCACCTGCAGATTCTACAAAAAGAGTGTTTCAAAAGTGCTCTGTCCAAACCAAGGTTCAATTCTGACAGTTGAGTGCACACATCACAAACGTGATTCTGCGAATGCTTCTGTCTAGTTTTTGTCGGAAGATATTTCCTTTTTCAGCATAGGCCCCAAGGAGCTCAAAATGTCCACTGCCAGATAGTACGAGAAGATTGTTTCAAACCTGCTCTGAGAAAGGGGAATGTTCAACTCTGTGACTTGAATGTACACATCCCTAAGATGTTTCTTAGAATGCTTCTGGCTAGATTTTATTTGAAGATATTCCCGTTTCCAACGAAATCCTCAAAGCTTTCCAAATATACACTTCCAGATTCTATAAAAAGAATGTTTCAAAACAGTTCTGTCCAAAGAAAGGTTCAACTCTGTTAGTGGAGAACACACATCACAATCCAGGTTCTGAGAATGCTTCTGTCTAAATTTTCTATGAAGACATTCCCGTTTCCAACGAAATCCTCACAGCTATCCAAATATCCACTTGCAGATTCTACAAAAAGTGTGGTTCAAAACTGCTGTATCAAAAGAATGGATCAACACTGTTAGTTGAGTACCCACATCACAAACGTGATTCTCAGAATGCTTCTGTCTAGTTTCTATAGGTAGATATCTCCTTTTTCAGCATAGGCCTGAAAGCGCTCCAAATGCCCGCTTCCAGACACTATAAAAAGAGGGTTTCAAACCTACTCTATGAAAGGGAATGTTCAACTCTGAGAGCTGGATGCAAACATCACAAAGAAGTTTGCTGAGAATGCTGCTGTCTACTTTTTATATATAATCCCGTTTCCAACGAAATCCTCAAATCTATCCAAATATCCACTTGCAGATTCCAAAAGAAGAGTGTCTCAAAACTGCTCTATCAATAGAAATGTTCAGCACAGTTAGTTGAGTAGATACAGCATAAACATGTTTCTGAGATTACTTCTATCTCGCATTCATGGGAAGATATTTCCTTTTTCCAGATAGGCTACAAAGCCCTCCAAATGTCCACTTCCAGATACTACAAAAAGAGTGTTTCCAACCTGCTCTATGAAACGGAAGGTTCAACTCTGTGACTTGATTGCAAACATCACGAAGGTGTTTCTGAGAATGCTTCTGTCTAGATTTTCTTTGAAGACATTACCGTTTCCAACGAAATCCTCAAAGCTAGCCAAATATCCACCTGCAGATTCTACAAAAAGAGTGTTTCAAAAGTGCTCTGTCCAAACCAAGGTTCAATTCTGACAGTTGAGTGCACACATCACAAACGTGATTCTGCGAATGCTTCTGTCTAGTTTTTGTCGGAAGATATTTCCTTTTTCAGCATAGGCCCCAAAGAGCTCAAAATGTCCACTGCCAGATAGTACGAGAAGATTGTTTCAAACCTGCTCCGTGAAAGGGAATGTTCAACTCTGTGACTTGAATGTAAACATCCCTAAGATGTTTCTTAGAATGCTTCTGGCTAGATTTTATTTGAAGATATTCCCGTTTCCAACGAAATCCGCAAAGCTTTCCAAATATCCACTTCCAGATTCTATAAAAAGAATGTTTCAGAACAGTTCTGTCAAAAGAAAGGTTCAACTCTGTTAGTGGAGAACACACATCACAATCAAGGTTCTGAGAATGCTTCTGTCTAAATTTTCTATGAAGACATTCCCGTTTCCAACGAAATCCTCACAGCTATCCAAATATCCACTTGCAGATTCTACAAAAAGTGTGGTTCAAAACTGCTGTATCAAAAGAATGGATCAACACTGTTAGTTGAGTACCCACATCACAAACGTGATTCTCAGAATGCTTCTGTCTACTTTCTATAGGTAGATATTTCCTTTTTCAGCATAGGCCTGAAAGCGCTCCAAATGCCCGCTTCCAGACACTATAAAAAGAGGGTTTCAAACCTACTCTACGAAAGGGAATGTTCAACTCTGAGAGCTGGATGCAAACATCATAAAGAAGTTTCTGAGAATGCTGCTGTCTACTTTTGATATAGAATCCCGTTTCCAAGGAAATCCTCAAATCTATCCAAATATCCACTTGCAGATTCCAAAAGAAGAGTGTCTCAAAACTGCTCTATCAATAGAAATGTTCAGCACAGTTAGTTGAGTAGATACAGCATAAACATGTTTCTGAGATTACTTCTATCTCGCATTCATGGGAAGATATTTCCTTTTTCCAGATAGGCTACAAAGCCCTCCGAATGTCCACTTCGAGATACTACAAATAGAGTGCTGCACAGCTGCTCTATGTGAGGGGATGTTCAATTCTGTGACTTGAATGCAGACACCACAAAGAAGTTTCTGAGAATGCTGCTGTCTAATTTTTACATGTAAGCCCGTTTCCAACGAAATCCTCAAAGCTATCCAAATATCCGCATGCAGAATCTTCAAAAAGAGTGTTCCAGAAGTACTGCATGAAACGAAAGGTTCAAGTCCCGTTTGTTGAGGACACACATCACAAATAAGTTTCTCAGAATGCTTCTGTCTTGTTTTCATTGGAAGATATTTCCTTTTTCACCATAGTTCAGAAAGCGCTCCAAATGTCCACTTCCAGATACTCCAAAAAGAGTGTTTCAAACCTGCTCTATGAATGGGAATGTTCCACTCTGTGACTTGAATGGAAATATGGCAAAGTATTTTCTGAGTATGCTGCTGTGTACGTTTTATATTGCATCCCGTTTCCAACGAAATCCTCAAAGCGATCCTAATATCCACTTGCAGATTCCAAAAAAAAGAGTGTTTCACACTGCTCTGTCAGTACAAATGTTCAACACTGTTAGTTGATTGGATGCATCATAAACAAGTTCCTGAGATAGCTTCTATGTCGTTTTTATTGGAAGATATTTCCTTTTTCACCATAGGCCTGAAAGCGCTCCAAATGTCCACTTCCAGATACTACAAAAAGAATGTTTGCAACCTGCTCTATGAAACGGAAGGTTCAACTCTGTGACTTGATTGCAAACATCACGAAGGTGTTTCTGAGAATGTTTCTGTCTAGATTTTCTTTGAAGACATTACCGTTTCCAACGAAATCCTCAAAGCTAGCCAAATATCCACCTGCAGATTCTACAAAAAGAGTGTTTCAAAAGTGCTCTGTCCAAACCAAGGTTCAATTCTGACAGTTGAGTGCACACATCACAAACGTGATTCTGCGAATGCTTCTGTCTAGTTTTTGTTGGAAGATATTTCCTTTTTCAGCATAGGCCCCAAGGAGCTCAAAATGTCCACTTCCAGATAGTACGAGAAGATTGTTTCAAACCTGCTCTGTTAAAGGGAATGTTCAACTCTGTGACTTGAATGTAAACATCCCTAAGATGTTTCTTAGAATGCTTCTGGCTAGATTTGATTTGAAGATATTCCCGTTTCCAACGAAATCCTCAAAGCTTTCCAAATATCCACTTCCAGATTCTATAACAAGAATGTTTCAGAACAGTTCTGTCAAAAGAAAGGTTCAACTCTGTTAGTGGAGAACACACATCACAATCAAGGTTCTGAGAATGCTTCTGTCTAAATTTTCTATGAAGACATTCCCGTTTCCAACGAAATCCTCACAGCTATCCAAATATCCACTTGCAGATTCTACAAAAAGTGTGGTTCAAAACTGCTGTATCAAAAGAATGGATCAACACTGTTAGTTGAGTACCCACATCACAAACGTGATTCTCAGAATGCTTTCTGTCTAGTTTCTATAGGTAGATATTTCCTTTTTCAGCATAGGCCTGAAAGCGCTCCAAATGCCCACTTCCAGACACTATAAAAAGAGGGTTTCAAACCTACTCCACGAAAGGGAATGTTCAACTCTGAGAGCTGGATGCAAAACTCACAAAGAAGTTTCTGAGAATGCTGCTGTCTACTTTTGATATATAATCCCGTTTCCAAGGAAATCCTCAAATCTATCCAAATATCCACTTGCAGATTCCAAAAGAAGAGTGTCTCAAAACTGCTCTATCAATAGAAATGTTCAGCACAGTTAGTTGAGTAGATACAGCATAAACATGTTTCTGAGATTACTTCTATCTCGCATTCATGGGAAGATATTTCCTTTTTCCAGATAGGCTACAAAGCCCTCCAAATGTCCACTTCCAGATACTACAAATAGAGTGCTGCACAACTGCTCTATGTGAGGGGAAGTTCAATTCTGTGACTTGAATGCAGACACCACAAAGAAGTTTCTGAGAATGCTGCTGTCTAATTTTTATATGTAAGCCCGTTTCCAACGATATCCTCAAAGCTAACGAAATATCTGCATGCAGAATCTTCAAAAAGAGTGTTCCAGAAGTACTGCATGAAACGAAAGCTTCGAGTCCGTTTGTTGAGGACACGCATCACAAATAAGTTTCTCAGAATGCTTGTGTCTTGTATTCATTGGAAGATATTTCCTTTTTCACCATAGTTCAGAAAGCGCTCCAAATGTCCACTTCCAGATACTCCAAAAAGAGTGTTTCCAACCTGCTCTATGAATGGGAATGTTCCACTCTGTGACTTGAATGGAAATATGGCAAAGTATTTTCTGGGTATGCTGCTGTGTACGTTTTATATTGCATCCCGTTTCCAACGAAATCCTCAAAGCGATCCAAATATCCACTTGCAGATTCCAAAAAAAGAGTGTTTCAAACTGCTCTGTCAGTACAAAGGTTCAACACTCTTAGTTGATTAGATGCATCATAAACAAGTTCCTGAGATAGCTTCTATGTCGTTTTTATGGGAAGATATTTCCTTTTTCACCATAGGCCTGAAAGCGCTCCAAATGTCCACTTCCAGATACTACAAAAAGAGTGTTTCCAACCTGCTCTATGAAACGGAAGGTTCAACTCTGTGACTTGATTGCAAACATCACGAAGGTGTTTCTGAGAATGCTTCTGTCTAGATTTTCTTTGAAGACATTCCCGTTTCCAACGAAATCCTCACAGCTATCCAAATATCCTCTTGCAGATTCTACAAAAAGTGTGGTTCAAAACTGCTGTATCAAAAGAATGGATCAACACTGTTAGTTGAGTACCCACATCACAAACGTGATTCTCAGAATGCTTCTGTCTAGTTTCTGTAGGTAGATATTTCCTATTTTAAGCATAGGCCTGAAAGCGCTCCAAATGCCCGCTTCCAGACACTATAAAAAGAGGGTTTCAAACCTACTCTATGAAAGGGAATGTTCAACTCTGAGAGCTGGATGCAAACATCACAAAGAAGTTTCTGAGAATGCTGCTGTCTACTTTTTATATATAATCCCGTTTCCAACGAAATCCTCAAATCTATCCAAATATCCACTTGCAGATTCCAAAAGAAGAGTGTCTCAAAACTGCTCTATCAATAGAAATGTTCAGCACAGTTAGTTGAGTAGATACAGCATAAACATGTTTCTGAGATTACTCTATCTCGCATTCATGGGAAGATATTTCCTTTTTCCAGATAGGCTACAAAGCCCTCCAAATGTCCACTTCCAGATACTACAAATAGAGTGCTGCACAACTGCTCTATGTGAGGGGATGTTCAATTCTGTGACTTGAATGCAGACACCACAAAGAAGTTTCTGAGAATGCTGGCTGTCTAATTTTTACATGTAAGCCCGTTTCCAACGAAATCCTCAAAGCTATCCAAATATCCGAATGCAGAATCTTCAAAAAGAGTGTTCCAGAAGTACTGCATGAAACGAAAGGTTCAAGTCCGTTTGTTGAGGACACACATCACAAATAAGTTTCTCAGAATGCTTCTGTCTTGTTTTCATTGGAAGATATTTCCTTTTTCACCATAGTTCAGAAAGCGCTCCAAATGTCCACTTCCAGATACTCCAAAAAGAGTGTTTCCAACCTGCTCTATGAATGGGAATGTTCCACTCTGTGACTTGAATGGAAATATGGCAAAGTATTTTCTGAGTATGCTGCTGTGTACGTTTTATATTGCATCCCGTTTCCAACGAAATCCTCAAAGCGATCCAAATATCCACTTGCAGATTCCAAAAAAAGAGTGTTTCAAACTCCTCTGTCAGTACAAAGGTTCAACACTGTTAGTTGATTAGATGCATCATAAACAAGTTCCTGAGATAGCTTCTATGTCGTTTTTATGGGAAGATATTTCCTTTTTCACCATAGGCCTGAAAGCGCTCCAAATGTCCACTTCCAGATACTACAATAAGAGTGTTTCCAACCTGCTCTATGAAACGGAAGGTTCAACTCTGTGACTTGATTGCAAACATCACGAAGGTGTTTCTGAGAATGTTTCTGTCTAGATTTTCTTTGAAGACATTCCCGTTTCCAACGAAATCCTCACAGCTATCCAAATATCCTCTTGCAGATTCTACAAAAAGTGTGGTTCAAAACTGCTGTATCAAAAGAATGGATCAACACTGTTAGTTGAGTACCCACATCACAAACGAGATTCTCAGAATGCTTCTGTCTAGTTTCTGTAGGTAGATATTTCCTATTTTAAGCATAGGTCTGAAAGCGCTCCAAATGCCCGCTTCCAGACACTATAAAAAGAGGGTTTCAAACCTACTCTATGAAAGGGAATGTTCAACTCTGAGAGCTGGATGCAAACATCACAAAGAAGTTTCTGAGAATGCTGCTGTCTACTTTTTATATATAATCCCGTTTCCAACGAAATCCTCAAATCTCTCCAAATATCCACTTGCAGATTCCAAAAGAAGAGTGTCTCAAAACTGCTCTATCAATAGAAATGTTCAGCACAGTTAGTTGAGTAGATACAGCATAAACATGTTTCTGAGATTACTTCTATCTCGCATTCATGGGAAGATATTTCCTTTTTCCACATAGGCTACAAAGCCCTCCAAATGTCCACTTCCAGATACTACAAAAAGAGTGTTTCCAACCTGCTCTATGAAACGGAAGGTTCAACTCTGTGACTTGATTGCAAACATCACGAAGGTGTTTGCTGAGAATGCTTCTGTCTAGATTTTCTTTGAAGACATTACCGTTTCCAACGAAATCCTCAAAGCTAGCCAAATATCCACCTGCAGATTCTACAAAAAGAGTGTTTCAAAAGTGCTCTGTCCAAACCAAGGTTCAATTCTGACAGTTGAGTGCACACATCACAAACGTGATTCTGCGAATGCTTCTGTCTAGTTTTTGTCGGAAGATATTTCCTTTTTCAGCATAGGCCCCAAGGAGCTCAAAATGTCCACTGCCAGATAGTACGAGAAGATTGTTTCAAACCTGCTCTGAGAAAGGGGAATGTTCAACTCTGTGACTTGAATGTACACATCCCTAAGATGTTTCTTAGAATGCTTCTGGCTAGATTTTATTTGAAGATATTCCCGTTTCTAACGAAATCCTCAAAGCTTTCCAAATATCCACTTCCAGATTCTATAAAAAGAATGTTTCAAAACAGTTCTGTCAAAAGAAAGGTTCAACTCTGTTAGTGGAGAACACACACCACAATCCAGGTTCTGAGAATGCTTCTGTCTAAATTTTCTATGAAGACATTCCCGTTTCCAACGAAATCCTCACAGCTATCCAAATATCCACTTGCAGATTCTACAAAAAGTGTGGTTCAAAACTGCTGTATCAAAAGAATGGATCAACACTGTTAGTTGAGTACCCACATCACAAACGTGATTCTCAGAATGCTTCTGTCTAGTTTCTATAGGTAGATATTTCCTTTTTCAGCATAGGCCTGAAAGTGCTCCAAATGCCCGCTTCCAGACACTATAAAAAGAGGGTTTCAAACCTACTCTATGAAAGGGAATGTTCAACTCTGAGAGCTGGATGCAAACATCACAAAGAAGTTTCTGAGAATGCTGCTGTCTACTTTTGATATATAATCCCGTTTCCAACGAAATCCTCAAATCTATCCAAATATCCACTTGCAGATTCCAAAAGAAGAGTGTCTCAAAACTGCTCTATCAATAGAAATGTTCAGCACAGTTAGTTGAGTAGATACAGCATAAACATGTTTCTGAGATTACTTCTATCTCGCATTCATGGGAAGATATTTCCTTTTTCCAGATAGGCTACAAAGACCTCCAAATGTCCACTTCCAGATACTACAAAAAGAGTGTTTCCAACCTGCTCTATGAAACGGAAGGTTCAACTCTGTGACTTGATTGCAAACATCACGAAGGTGTTTCTGAGAATGCTTCTGTCTAGATTTTCTTTGAAGACATTACCGTTTCCAACGAAATCCTCAAAGCTAGCCAAATATCCACCTGCAGATTCTACAAAAAGAGTGTTTCAAAAGTGCTCTGTCCAAACCAAGGTTCAATTCTGACAGTTGAGTGCACACATCACAAACGTGATTCTGCGAATGCTTCTGTCTAGTTTTTGTCAGAATTTATTTCCTTTTTCAGCATAGGCCCCAAGGAGCTCAAACTGTCCACTTCCAGATAGTACGAGAAGATTGTTTCAAACCTGCTCTGTGAAAGGGAATGTTCAACTCTGTGACTTGAATGTAAACATCCCTAAGATGTTTCTTAGAATGCTTCTGGCTAGATTTGATTTGAAGATATTCCCGTTTCCAACGAAATCCTCAAAGCTTTCCAAATATCCACTTCCAGATTCTATAAAAAGAATGTTTCAGAACAGTTCTGTCAAAAGAAAGGTTCAACTCTGTTAGTGGAGAACACACATCACAATCAAGGTTCTGAGAATGCTTCTGTCTAAATTTTCTATGAAGGCATTCCCGTTTCCAAGGAAATCCTCACAGCTATCCAAATATCCACTTGCAGATTCTACAAAAAGTGTGGTTCAAAACTGCTGTATCAAAAGAATGGATCAACACTGTTAGTTGAGTACCCACATCACAAACGTGATTCTCAGAATGCTTCTGTCTAGTTTCTATAGGTAGATATTTCCTTTTTCAGCATAGGCCTGAAAGCGCTCCAAATGCCCGCTTCCAGACACTATAAAAAGAGGGTTTCAAACCTACTCTACGAAAGGGAATGTTGAACTCTGAGAGCTGGATGCAAACATCACAAAGAAGTTTCTGAGAATGCGGCTGTCTACTTTTTATATATAATCCCGTTGCCAACGAAATCCTCAAATCTTTCCAAATATCCACTTGCAGATTCCGAAAGAAGAGTGTCTCAAACCTGCTCTATCAATAGAAATGTTCAGCACAGTTAGTTGAGTAGATACAGCATAAACATGTTTCTGAGATTACTTCTATCTCGCATTCATGGGAAGATATTTCCTTTTTCCAGATAGGCTACAAAGCCCTCCAAATGTCCACTTCGAGATACTACAAATAGAGTGCTGCACAACTGCTCTATGTGAGGGGATGTTCAATTCTGTGACTTGAATGCAGACACCACAAAGAAGTTTCTGAGAATGCTCCTGTCTAATTTTTATATGTAAGCCCGTTTCCAACGAAATCCTCAAAGCTAACCAAATATCCGCATGCAGAATCTTCAAAAAGAGTGTTCCAGAAGTACTGCATGAAACGAAAGCTTCGAGTCCGTTAGTTGAGGACACGCATCACAAATAAGTTTCTCAGAATGCTTCTGTCTTGTTTTCATTGGAAGATATTTCCTTTTTCACCATAGTTCAGAAAGCGCTCCAAATGTCCACTTCCAGATACTCCAAAAAGTGTGTTTCAAACCTGCTCTATGAATGGGAATGTTCCACTCTGTGACTTGAATGGAAATATGGCAAAGTATTTTCTGAGTATGCTGCTGTGTACGTTTTATATTGCATCGCGTTTCCAACGAAATCCTCAAAGCGATCCAAATATCCACTTGCAGATTCCAAAAAAAGAGTGTTTCAAACTGCTCTGTCAGTACAAAGGTTCAACACTGTTAGTTGATTAGATGCATCATAAACAAGTTCCTGAGATAGCTTCTATGTCGTTTTTATGGGAAGATATTTCCTTTTTCACCATAGGCCTGAAAGCGCTCCAAATGTCCACTTCCAGATACTACAATAAGAGTGTTTCCAACCTGCTCTATGAAACGGAAGGTTCAACTCTGTGACTTGATTGCAAACATCACGAAGGTGTTTCTGAGAATGCTTCTGTCTAGATTTTCTTTGAAGACATTCCCGTTTCCAACGAAATCCTCACAGCTATCCAAATATCCTCTTGCAGATTCTACAAAAAGTGTGGTTCAAAACTGCTGTATCAAAAGAATGGATCAACACTGTTAGTTGAGTACCCACATCACAAACGTGATTCTCAGAATGCTTCTGTCTAGTTTCTGTAGGTAGATATTTCCTATTTTAAGCATAGGCCTGAAAGCGCTCCAAATGCCCGCTTCCAGACACTATAAAAAGAGGGTTTCAAACCTACTCTATGAAAGGGAATGTTCAACTCTGAGAGCTGGATGCAAACATCACAAAGAAGTTTCTGAGAATGCTGCTGTCTACTTTTTATATATAATCCCGTTTCCAACGAAATCCTCAAATCTATCCAAATATCCACTTGCAGATTCCAAAAGAAGAGTGTCTCAAAACTGCTCTATCAATAGAAATGTTCAGCACAGTTAGTTGAGTAGATACAGCATAAACATGTTTCTGAGATTACTTCTATCTCGCATTCATGGGAAGATATTTCCTTTTTCCAGATAGGCTACAAAGCCCTCCAAATGTCCACTTCCAGATACTACAAATAGAGTGCTGCACAACTGCTCTATGTGAGGGGAAGTTCAATTCTGTGACTTGAATGCAGACACCACAAAGAAGTTTCTGAGAATGCTGCTGTCTAATTTTTACATGTAAGCCCGTTTCCAACGAAATCCTCAAAGCTATCCAAATATCCGCATGCAGAATCTTCAAAAAGAGTGTTCCAGAAGTACTGCATGAAACGAAAGGTTCAAGTCCGTTTGTTGAGGACACACATCACAAATAAGTTTCTCAGAATGCTTCTGTCTTGTTTTCATTGGAAGATATTTCCTTTTTCACCATAGTTCAGAAAGCGCTCCAAATGTCCACTTCCAGATACTCCAAAAAGAGTGTTTCAAACCTGCTCTATGAATGGGAATGTTCCACTCTGTGACTTGAATGGAAATATGGCAAAGTATTTTCTGAGTATGCTGCTGTGTACGTTTTATATTGCATCCCGTTTCCAACGAAATCCTCAAAGCGATCCAAATATCCACTTGCAGATTCCAAAAAAAGAGTGTTTCAAACTGCTCTGTCAGTACAAAGGTTCAACACTGTTAGTTGATTAGATGCATCATAAACAAGTTCCTGAGATAGCTTCTATATCGTTTTTATGGGAAGATATTTCCTTTTTCACCATAGGCCTGAAAGCGCTCCAAATGTCCACTTCCAGATACTACAATAAGAGTGTTTCCAACCTGCTCTATGAAACGGAAGGTTCAACTCTGTGACTTGATTGCAAACATCACGAAGGTATTTCTGAGAATGCTTCTGTCTAGATTTTCTTTGAAGACATTTCCGTTTCCAACGAAATCCTCAAAGCTAGCCAAATATCCACCTGCAGATTCTACAAAAAGAGTGTTTCAAAAGTGCTCTGTCCAAACCAAGGTTCAATTCTGACAGTTGAGTGCACACATCACAAACGTGATTCTGCGAATGCTTCTGTCTAGTTTTTGTCGGAAGATATTTCCTTTTTCAGCATAGGCCCCAAGGAGCTCAAAATGTCCACTGCCAGATAGTACGAGAAGATTGTTTCAAACCTGCTCTGTGAAAGGGAATGTTCAACTCTGTGACTTGAATGTAAACATCCCTAAGATGTTTCTTAGAATGCTTCTGGCTAGATTTTATTTGAAGATATTCCCGTTTCCAACGAAATCCTCAAAGCTTTCCAAATATCCACTTCCAGATTCTATAAAAAGAATGTTTCAGAACAGTTCTGTCAAAAGAAAGGTTCAACTCTGTTAGTGGAGAACACACATCACAATCAAGGTTCTGAGAATGCTTCTGTCTAGATTTTCTTTGAAGACTTTCCCGTTTCCAACGAAATCCTCACAGCTATCCAAATATCCTCTTGCAGATTCTACAAAAAGTGTGGTTCAAAACTGCTGTATCAAAAGAATGGATCAACACTGTTAGTTGAGTACCCACATCACAAACGTGATTCTCAGAATGCTTCTGTCTAGTTTCTGTAGGTAGATATTTCCTATTTTAAGCATAGGCCTGAAAGCGCTCCAAATGCCCGCTTCCAGACACTATAAAAAGAGGGTTTCAAACCTACTCTATGAAAGGGAATGTTCAACTCTGAGAGCTGGATGCAAACATCACAAAGAAGTGTCTGAGAATGCTGCTGTCTACTTTTTATATATAATCCCGTTTCCAACGAAATCCTCAAATCTATCCAAATATCCACTTGCAGATTCCAAAAGAAGAGTGTCTCAAAACTGCTCTATCAATAGAAATGTTCAGCACAGTTAGTTGAGTAGATACAGCATAAACATGTTTCTGAGATTACTTCTATCTCGCATTCATGGGAAGATATTTCCTTTTTCCACATAGGCTACAAAGCCCTCCAAATGTCCACTTCCAGATACTAGAAATAGAGTGCTGCACAACTGCTCTATGTGAGGGGATGTTCAATTCTGTGACTTGAATGCAGACACCACAAAGAAGTTTCTGAGAATGCTGCTGTCTAATTTTTACATGTAAGCCCGTTTCCAACGAAATCCTCAAAGCTATCCAAATATCCGCATGCAGAATCTTCAAAAAGAGTGTTCCAGAAGTACTGCATGAAACGAAAGGTTCAAGTCCGTTTGTTGAGGACACACATCACAAATAAGTTTCTCAGAATGCTTCTGTCTTGTTTTCATTGGAAGATATTTCCTTTTTCACCATAGTTCAGAAAGCGCTCCAAATGTCCACTTCCAGATACTCCAAAAAGAGTGTTTCCAACCTGCTCTATGAATGGGAATGTTCCACTCTGTGACTTGAATGGAAATATGGCAAAGAATTTTCTGAGTATGCTGCTGTGTACGTTTTATATTGCATCCCGTTTCCAACGAAATCCTCAAAGCGATCCAAATATCCACTTGCAGATTCCAAAAAAAGAGTGTTTCAAACTGCTCTGTCAGTACAAAGGTTCAACACTGTTAGTTGATTAGATGCATCATAAACAAGTTCCTGATATAGATTCTATGTCGTTTTTATGGGAACATATTTCCTTTTACACCATAGGCCTGAAAGCGCTCCAAATGTCCACTTCCAGATACTACAAAATGAGTGTTTCCAACCTGCTCTATGAAACGGAAGGTTCAACTCTGTGACTTGATTGCAAACATCACGAAGGTGTTTCTGAGGATGTTTCTGTCTTGATTTTCTTTGAAGACATTACCGTTTCCAACGAAATCCTCAAAGCTAGCCAAATATCCACCTGCAGATTCTACAAAAAGAGTGTTTCATAGGTGCTCTGTCGAAACAAAGGTTCAATTCTGACAGTTGAGTGCACACATCACAAACGTGATTCTGCGAATGCTTCTGTCTAGTTTTTGTCGGAAGATATTTCCTTTTTCAGCATAGGCCCCAAGGAGCTCAAAATGTCCACTGCCAGATAGTACGAGAAGATTGTTTCAAACCTGCTCTGTGAAAGGGAATGTTCAACTCTGTGACTTGAATGTAAACATCCCTAAGATGTTTCTTAGAATGCTTCTGGCTAGATTTTATTTGAAGATATTCCCGTTTCCAACGAAATCCTCAAAGCTTTCCAAATATCCACTTCCAGATTCTATAAAAAGAATGTTTCAGAACAGTTCTGTCAAAAGAAAGGTTCAACTCTGTTAGTGGAGAACACACATCACAATCAAGGTTCTGAGAATGCTTCTGTCTAAATTTTCTATGAAGACATTCCCGTTTCCAACGAAATCCTCACAGCTATCCAAATATCCACTTGCAGATTCTACAAAAAGTGTGGTTCAAAACTGCTGTATCAAAAGAATGGATCAACACTGTTAGTTGAGTACCCACATCACAAACGTGATTCTCAGAATGCTTCTGTCTAGTTTCTGTAGGTAGATATTTCCTTTTTCAGCATAGGCCTGAAAGCGCTCCAAATGCCCGCTTCCAGACACTATAAAAAGAGGGTTTCAAACCTACTCTATGAAAGGGAATGTTCAACTCTGAGAGCTGGATGCAAACATCACAAAGAAGTTTCTGAGAATGCTGCTGTCTACTTTTGATATATAATCCCGTTTCCAACGAAATCCTCAAATCTATCCAAATATCCACTTGCAGATTCCAAAAGAAGAGTGTCTCAAAACTGCTCTATCAATAGAGATGTTCAGCACAGTTAGTTGAGTAGATACAGCATAAACATGTTTCTGAGATTACTTCTATCTCGCATTCATGGGAAGATATTTCCTTTTTCCAGATAGGCTACAAAGCCCTCCAAATGTACATTTCGAGATACTACAAATAGAGTGCTGCACAGCTGCTCTATGTGAGGGGATGTTCAATTCTGTGACTTGAACGCAGACACCACAAAGAAGTTTCTGAGAATGCTGCTGTCTAATTTTTACATGTAAGCCCGTTTCCAACGAAATCCTCAAAGCTATCCAAATATCCACATGCAGAATCTTCAAAAAGAGTGTTCCAGAAGTACTGCATGAAACGAAAGGTTCAAGTCCGTTAGTTGAGGACACACATCACAAATAAGTTTCTCAGAATGCTTCTGTCTTGTTTTCATTGGAAGATATTTCCTTTTTCATCATAGTTCAGAAAGCGCTCCAAATGACCACTTCCAGATACTAGAAAAGGAGTGTTTCCAACCTGCTCCATGAATGGGAATGTTCCACTCTGTGACTTGAATGGAAATATGGCAAAGTATTTTCTGAGTATGCTGCTGTGTACGTTTTATATTGCATCCCGTTTCCAACGAAATCCTCAAAGCGATCCAAATATCCACTTGCAGATTCCAAAAAAAGAGTGTTTCAAACTGCTCTGTCAGTACAAAGGTTCAACACTGTTAGTTGAGTAGATGCATCATAAACAAGTTCCTGAGATAGCTTCTATGTCGTTTTTATGGGAAGATATTTCCTTTTTCACCATAGGCCTGAAAGCGCTCCAAATGTCCACTTCCAGATACTACAATAAGAGTGTTTCCAACCTGCTCTATGAAACGGAAGGTTCAACTCTGTGACTTGATTGCAAACATCACGAAGGTGTTTCTGAGAATGCTTCTGTCTAGATTTTCTTTGAAGACATTCCCGTTTCCAACGAAATCCTCACAGCTATCCAAATATCCTCTTGCAGATTCTACAAAAAGTGTGGTTCAAAACTGCTGTATCAAAAGAATGGATCAACACTGTTAGTTGAGTACCCACATCACAAACGTGATTCTCAGAATGCTTCTGTCTAGTTTCTGTAGGTAGATATTTCCTATTTTAAGCATAGGCCTGAAAGCGCTCCAAATGCCCGCTTCCAGACACTATAAAAAGAGGGTTTTAAACCTACTCTATGAAAGGGAATGTTCAACTCTGAGAGCTGGATGCAAACATCACAAAGAAGTTTCTGAGAATGCTGCTGTCTACTTTTTATATATAATCCCGTTTCCAACGAAATCCTCAAATCTATCCAAATATCCACTTGCAGATTCCAAAAGAAGAGTGTCTCAAAACTGCTCTATCAATAGAAATGTTCAGCACAGTTAGTTGAGTAGATACAGCATAAACGTGTTTCTGAGATTACTTCTATCTCGCATTTATGGGAAGATATTTCCTTTTTCCAGATAGGCTACAAAGCCCTCCAAATGTCCACTTCCAGATACTACAAAAAGAGTGTTTCCAACCTGCTCTATGAAACGGAAGGTTCAACTCTGTGACTTGATTGCAAACATCACGAAGGTGTTTCTGAGAATGCTTCTGTCTAGATTTTCTTTGAAGACATTACCGTTTCCAACGAAATCCTCAAAGCTAGCCAAATATCCACCTGCAGATTCTACAAAAAGAGTGTTTCAAAAGTGCTCTGTCCAAACCAAGGTTCAATTCTGACAGTTGAGTGCACACATCACAAACGTGATTCTGCGAATGCTTCTGTCTACTTTTTGTCGGAAGATATTTCCTTTTTCAGCATAGGCCCCAAGGAGCTCAAAATGTCCACTTCCAGATAGTACGAGAAGATTGTTTCAAACCTGCTCTGAGAAAGGGGAATGTTCAACTCTGTGACTTGAATGTACACATCCCTAAGATGTTTCTTAGAATGCTTCTGTCTAAATTTTCTATGAAGACATTCCCGTTTCCAACGAATTCCTCAAAGCTTTCCAAATATCCACTTCCAGATTCTATACAAAGAATGTTTCAAAACAGTTCTGTCAAAAGAAAGGTTCAACTCTGTTAGTGGAGAACACACATCACAATCCAGGTTCTGAGAATGCTTCTGTCTAAATTTTCTATGAAGACATTCCCGTTTCCAACTAAATCCTCACAGCTATCCAAATATCCTCTTGCAGATTCTACAAAAAGGGTGGTTCAAAACTGCTGTATCAAAAGAATGGATCAACACTGTTAGTTGAGTACCCACATCACAAACGTGATTCTCAGAACGCTTCTGTCTAGTTTCTGTAGGTAGATATTTCCTTTTTCAGCATAGGCCTGAAAGCATTCCAAATGCCCGCTTCCAGACACTATAAAAAGGGGGTTTCAAACCTACTCTGTGAAAGGGAATGTTCAACTCTGAGAGCTGGATGCAAACATCACAAAGAAGTTTCTGAGAATGCTGCTGTCTACTTTTTATATATAATCCCGTTTCCAATGAAATCCTCAAATCTATCCAAATATCCACTAGCAGATTCCAAAAGAAGAGTGTCTCAAAACTGCTCTATCAATAGAAATGTTCAGCACAGTTAGTTTAGTAGATACAGCATAAACATGTTTCTGAGATTACTTCTATCTCGCATTCATGGGAAGATATTTCCTTTTTCCAGATAGGCTACAAAGCCCTCCAAATGTCCACTTCGAGATACTACAAATAGAGTGCTGCACAACTGCTCTATGTGAGGGGATGTTCAATTCTGTGACTTGAATGCAGACACCACAAAGAAGTTTCTGAGAATGCTGCTGTCTAATTTTTATATGTAAGCCCGTTTCCAACGAAATCCTCAAAGTTATCCAAATATCCACATGCAGAATCTTCAAAAAGAGTGTTCCAGAAGTACTGCATGAAACGAAAGGTTCAAGTCCGTTAGTTGAGGACACACATCACAAATAAGTTTCTCAGAATGCTTCTGTCTTGTTTTCATTGGAAGATATTTCCTTTTTCACCATAGTTCAGAAAGCGCTCCAAATGTCCACTTCCAGATACTACAAAAAGAGTGTGTCAAACCTGCTCTATGAATGGGAATGTTCCACTCTGTGACTTGAATGGAAATATGGCAAAGTATTTTCTGAGTATGCTGCTGTGTACTTCTATATTGCATCCCGTTTCCAACGAAATCCTCAAAGCGATCCAAATATCCACTTGCAGATTCCAAAAAAAAGAGTGTTTCACACTGCTCTGTCAGTACAAAGGTTCAACACTGTTAGTTGATTGGATGCATCATAAACAAGTTCCTGAGATAGCTTCTATGTCGTTTTTATGGGAAGATATTTCCTTTTTCACCATAGGCCTGAAAGCGCTCCAAATGTCCACTTCCAGATACTACAAAAAGAGTGTTTCCAACCTGCTCTATGAAACGGAAGGTTCAACTCTGTGACTTGATTGCAAACATCACGAAGGTGTTTCTGAGAATGTTTCTGTCTAAATTTTCTATGAAGACATTCCCGTTTCCAACGAAATCCTCACAGCTATCCAAATATCCACTTGCAGATTCTACAAAAAGTGTGGTTCAAAACTGCTGTATCAAAAGAATGGATCAACACTGTTAGTTGAGTACCCACATCACAAACGTGATTCTCAGAATGCTTCTGTCTAGTTTCTATAGGTAGATATTTCCTTTTTCAGCATAGGCCTGAAAGCGCTCCAAATGCCCGCTTCCAGACACTATAAAAAGAGGGTTTCAAACCTACTCTATGAAAGGGAATGTTCAACTCTGAGAGCTGGATGCAAACATCACAAAGAAGTTTCTGAGAATGCTGCTGTCTACTTTTTATATATAATCCCGTTTCCAACGAAATCCTCAAATCTATCCAAATATCCACTTGCAGATTCCAAAAGAAGAGTGTCTCAAAACTGCTCTATCAATAGAAATGTTCAGCACAGTTAGTTGAGTAGATACAGCATAAACATGTTTCTGAGATTACTTCTATCTCGCATTCATGGGAAGATATTTCCTTTTTCCAGATAGGCTACAAAGCCCTCCAAATGTCCACTTCCAGATACTACAAATAGAGTGCTGCACAACTGCTCTATGTGAGGGGAAGTTCAATTCTGTGACTTGAATGCAGACACCACAAAGAAGTTTCTGAGAATGCTGCTGTCTAATTTTTACATGTAAGCCCGTTTCCAACGAAATCCTCAAAGCTATCCAAATATCCGCATGCAGAATCTTCAAAAAGAGTGTTCCAGAAGTACTGCATGAAACGAAAGGTTCAAGTCCGTTTGTTGAGGACACACATCACAAATAAGTTTCTCAGAATGCTTCTGTCTTGTTTTCATTGGAAGATATTTCCTTTTTCACCATAGTTCAGAAAGCGCTCCAAATGTCCACTTCCAGATACTCCAAAAAGAGTGTTTCCAACCTGCTCTATGAATGGGAATGTTCCACTCTGTGACTTGAATGGAAATATGGCAAAGTATTTTCTGAGTATGCTGCTGTGTACGTTTTATATTGCATCCCGTTTCCAACGAAATCCTCAAAGCGATCCAAATATCCACTTGCAGATTCCAAAAAAAGTGTTTCAAACTGCTCTGTCAGTACAAAGGTTCAACACTGTTAGTTGATTAGATGCATCATAAACAAGTTCTGAGATAGCTTCTATGTCGTTTTTATGGGAAGATATTTCCTTTTTCACCATAGGCCTGAAAGCGCTCCAAATGTCCACTTCCAGATACTACAATAAGAGTGTTTCCAACCTGCTCTATGAAACGGAAGGTTCAACTCTGTGACTTGATTGCAAACATCACGAAGGTGTTTCTGAGAATGCTTCTGTCTAGATTTTCTTTGAAGACATTACCGTTTCCAACGAAATCCTCAAAGCTAGCCAAATATCCACCTGCAGATTCTACAAAGAGAGTGTTTCAAAAGTGCTCTGTCCAAACCAAGGTTCAATTCTGACAGTTGAGTGCACACATCACAAACGTGATTCTGCGAATGCTTCTGTCTAGTTTTTGTCGGAAGATATTTCCTTTTTCAGCATAGGCCCCAAGGAGCTCAAAATGTCCACTGCCAGATAGTACGAGAAGATTGTTTCAAACCTGCTCTGTGAAAGGGAATGTTCAACTCTGTGACTTGAATGTAAACATCCCTAAGATGTTTCTTAGAATGCTTCTGGCTAGATTTGATTTGAAGATATTCCCGTTTCCAACGAAATCCTCAAAGCTTTCCAAATATCCACTTCCAGATTCTATAAAAAGAATGTTTCAGAACAGTTCTGTCAAAAGAAAGGTTCAACTCTGTTAGTGGAGAACACACATCACAATCAAGGTTCTGAGAATGTTTCTGTCTAAATTTTCTATGAAGACATTCCCGTTTCCAACGAAATCCTCACAGCTATCCAAATATCCACTTGCAGATTCTACAAAAAGTGTGGTTCAAAACTGCTGTATCAAAAGAATGGATCAACACTGTTAGTTGAGTACCCACATCACAAACGTGATTCTCAGAATGCTTCTGTCTAGTTTCTATAGGTAGATATTTCCTTTTTCAGCATAGGCCCGAAAGCGCTCAAAATGCCCGCTTCCAGACACTATAAAAAGAGGGTTTCAAACCTACTCTATGAAAGGGAATGTTCAACTCTGAGAGCTGGATGCAAACATCACAAAGAAGTTTCTGAGAATGCTTGCTGTCTACTTTTGATATATAATCCCGTTTCCAACGAAATCCTCAAATCTATCCAAATATCCACTTGCAGATTCCAAAAGAAGAGTGTCTCAAAACTGCTCTATAAATAGAAATGTTCAGCACAGTTAGTTGAGTAGATACAGCATAAACATGTTTCTGAGATTACTTCTATCTCGCATTCATGGGAAGATATTTCCTTTTTCCAGATAGGCTACAAAGCCCTCCAAATGTCCACTTCCAGATACTACAAATAGAGTGCTGCACAACTGCTCTATGTGAGGGGAAGTTAAATTCTGTGACTTGAATGCAGACACCACAAAGAAGTTTCTGAGAATGCTGCTGTCTAATTTTTACATGTAAGACCGTTTCCAACGAAATCCTCAAAGCTATCCAAATATCCGCATGCAGAATCTTCAAAAAGAGTGTTCCAGAAGTACTGCATGAAACGAAAGGTTCAAGTCCGTTTGTTGAGGACACACATCACAAATAAGTTTCTCAGAATGCTTCTCTGTCTTGTTTTCATTGGAAGATATTTCCTTTTTCACCATAGTTCAGAAAGCGCTCCAAATGTCCACTTCCAGATACTCCAAAAAGAGTGTTTCCAACCTGCTCTATGAATGGGAATGTTCCACTCTGTGACTTGAATGGAAATATGGCAAAGTATTTTCTGAGTATGCTGCTGTGTACGTTTTATATTGCATCCCGTTTCCAACGAAATCCTCAAAGCGATCCAAATATCCACTTGCAGATTCCAAAAAAAGAGTGTTTCAAACTGCTCTGTCAGTACAAAGGTTCAACACTGTTAGTTGATTAGATGCATCATAAACAAGTTCCTGAGATAGCTTCTATATCGTTTTTATGGGAAGATATTTCCTTTTTCACCATAGGCCTGAAAGCGCTCCAAATGTCCACTTCCAGATACTACAATAAGAGTGTTTCCAACCTGCTCTATGAAACGGAAGGTTCAACTCAGTGACTTGATTGCAAACATCACGAAGGTATTTCTGAGAATGCTTCTGTCTAGATTTTCTTTGAAGACATTCCCGTTTCCAACGAAATCCTCACAGCTATCCAAATATCCTCTTGCAGATTCTACAAAAAGTGTGGTTCAAAACTGCTGTATCAAAAGAATGGATCAACACTGTTAGTTGAGTACCCACATCACAAACGTGATTCTCAGAATGCTTCTGTCTAGTTTCTGTAGGTAGATATTTCCTATTTTAAGCATAGGCCTGAAAGCGCTCCAAATGCCCGCTTGCAGACACTATAAAAAGAGGGTTTCAAACCTACTCTATGAAAGGGAATGTTCAACTCTGAGAGCTGGATGCAAACATCACAAAGAAGTTTCTGAGAATGCTGCTGTCTACTTTTGATATATAATCCCGTTTCCAACGAAATCCTCAAATCTATCCAAATATCCACTTGCAGATTCCAAAAGAAGAGTGTCTCAAAACTGCTCTATCAATAGAAATGTTCAGCACAGTTAGTTGAGTAGATACAGCATAAACATGTTTCTGAGATTACTTCTATCTCGCATTCATGGGAAGATATTTCCTTTTTCCAGATAGGCTACAAAGCCCTCCAAATGTCCACTTCCAGATACTACAAATAGAGTGCTGCACAACTGCTCTATGTGAGGGGAAGTTCAATTCTGTGACTTGAATGCAGACACCACAAAGAAGTTTCTGAGAATGCTGCTGTCTAATTTTTACATGTAAGCCCGTTTCCAACGAAATCCTCAAAGCTATCCAAATATCCGCATGCAGAATCTTCAAAAAGAGTGTTCCAGAAGTACTGCATGAAACGAAAGGTTCAAGTCCGTTTGTTGAGGACACACATCACAAATAAGTTTCTCAGAATGCTTCTGTCTTGTTTTCATTGGAAGATATTTCCTTTTTCATCATAGTTCAGAAAGCGCTCCAAATGACCACTTCCAGATACTAGAAAAGGAGTGTTTCCAACCTGCTCCATGAATGGGAATGTTCCACTCTGTGACTTGAATGGAAATATGGCAAAGTATTTTCTGAGTATGCTGCTGTTTACGTTTTATATTGCATCCCGTTTCCAACGAAATCCTCAAAGCGATCCAAATATCCACTTGCAGATTCCAAAAAAAAGAGTGTTTCACACTGCTCTGTCAGTACAAAGGTTCAACACTGTTAGTTGATTGGATGCATCATAAACAAGTTCCTGAGATAGCTTCTATGTCGTTTTTATGGGAAGATATTTCCTTTTTCACCATAGGCCTGAAAGCGCTCCAAATGTCCACTTCCAGATACTACAAAAAGAGTGTTTCCAACCTGCTCTATGAAACGGAAGGTTCAACTCTGTGACTTGATTGCAAACATCACGAAGGTGTTTCTGAGAATGTTTCTGTCTAGATTTTCTTTGAAGACATTACCGTTTCCAACAAAATCCTCAAAGCTAGCCAAATATCCACCTGCAGATTCTACAAAAAGAGTGTTTCTAAAGTGCTCTGTCCAAACCAAGGTTCAATTCTGACAGTTGAGTGCACACATCACAAACGTGATTCTGCGAATGCTTCTGTCTAGTTTTTGTCGGAAGATATTTCCTTTTTCAGCATAGGCCCCAAGGAGCTCAAAATGTCCACTTCCAGATAGTACGAGAAGATTGTTTCAAACCTGCTCTGTGAAAGGGAATGTTCAACTCTGTGACTTGAATGTAAACTTCCCTAAGATGTTCCTTAGAATGCGTCTGGCTAGATTTTCTTTGAAGATATTCCCGTTTCCAACGAAATCCTCAAAGCTTTCCAAATATCCACTTCCAGATTCTATAAAAAGAATGTTTCAGAACAGTTCTGTCAAAAGAAAGGTTCAACTCTGTTAGTGGAGAACACACATCACAATCAAGGTTCTGAGAATGCTTCTGTCTAAATTTTCTATGAAGACATTCCCGTTTCCAAGGAAATCCTCACAGCTATCCAAATATCCACTTGCAGATTCTACAAAAAGTGTGGTTCAAAACTGCTGTATCAAAAGAATGGATCAACACTGTTAGTTGAGTACCCACATCACAAACGTGATTCTCAGAATGCTTCTGTCTAGTTTCTGTAGGTAGATATTTCCTTTTTCAGCATAGGCCTGAAAGCGCTCCAAATGCCCGCTTCCAGACACTATAAAAAGAGGGTTTCAAACCTACTCTATGAAAGGGAATGTTCAACTCTGAGAGCTGGATGCAAACATCACAAAGAAGTTTCTGAGAATGCTGCTGTCTA
This sequence comes from Homo sapiens, assembly GCF_000001405.40. Lineage (NCBI taxonomy): Eukaryota > Metazoa > Chordata > Mammalia > Primates > Hominidae > Homo > Homo sapiens. The sequence continues at coordinate 45,385,438 of NC_000008.11, read as the reverse complement.
CTTTTTATATATAATCCCATTTCCAACGAAATCCTCAAATCTCTCCAAATATCCACTTGCAGATTCCAAAAGAAGAGTGTCTCAAAACTGCTCTATCAATAGAAATGTTCAGCACAGTTAGTTGAGTAGATACAGCATAAACATGTTTCTGAGATTACTTCTATCTCGCATTCATGGGAAGATATTTCCTTTTTCCAGATAGGCTACAATGCCCTCCAAATGTCCACTTCCAGATACTACAAATAGAGTGCTGCACAACTGCTCTATGTGAGGGGATGTTCAATTCTGTGACTTGAATGCAGACACCACAAAGAAGTTTCTGAGAATTCTGCTGTCTAATTTTTACATGTAAGCCCGTTTCCAACGAAATCCTCAAAGCTATCCAAATATCCGCATGCAGAATCTTCAAAAAGAGTGTTCCAGAAGTACTGCATGAAACGAAAGGTTCAAGTCCGTTTGTTGAGGACACACATCACAAATAAGTTTCTCAGAATGCTTCTGTCTTGTTTTCATTGGAAGATATTTCCTTTTTCACCATAGTTCAGAAAGCGCTCCAAATGTCCACTTCCAGATACTCCAAAAAGAGTGTTTCAAACCTGCTCTATGAATGGGAATGTTCCACTCTGTGACTTGAATGGAAATATGGCAAAGTATTTTCTGAGTATGCTGCTGTGTACGTTTTATATTGCATCCCGTTTCCAACGAAATCCTCAAAGCGATCCAAATATCCACTTGCAGATTCCAAAAAAAGAGTGTTTCAAACTGCTCTGTCAGTACAAAGGTTCAACACTGTTAGTTGATTAGATGCATCATAAACAAGTTCCTGAGATAGCTTCTATGTCGTTTTTATGGGAACATATTTCCTTTTTCACCATAGGCCTGAAAGCGCTCCAAATGTCCACTTCCAGATACTACAATAAGAGTGTTTCCAACCTGCTCTATGAAACGGAAGGTTCAACTCTGTGACTTGATTGCAAACATCACGAAGGTGTTTCTGAGAATGCTTCTGTCTAGATTTTCTTTGAAGACATTCCCGTTTCCAACGAAATCCTCACAGCTATCCAAATATCCTCTTGCAGATTCTACAAAAAGTGTGGTTCAAAACTGCTGTATCAAAAGAATGGATCAACTCTGTTAGTTGAGTACCCACATCACAAACGTGATTCTCAGAATGCTTCTGTCTAGTTTCTGTAGGTAGATATTTCCTATTTTAAGCATAGGCCTGAAAGCGCTCCAAATGCCCGCTTCCAGACACTATAAAAAGAGGGTTTCAAACCTACTCTATGAAAGGGAATGTTCAACTCTGAGAGCTGGATGCAAACATCACAAAGAAGTTTCTGAGAATGCTGCTGTCTACTTTTTATATATAATCCCGTTTCCAACGAAATCCTCAAATCTATCCAAATATCCACTTGCAGATTCCAAAAGAAGAGTGTCTCAAAACTGCTCTATCAATAGAAATGTTCAGCACAGTTAGTTGAGTAGATACAGCATAAACATGTTCCTGAGATTACTTCTATCTCGCATTCATGGGAAGATATTTCCTTTTTCCAGATAGGCTACAAAGCCCTCCAAATGTCCACTTCCAGATACTACAAAAAGAGTGTTTCCAACCTGCTCTATGAAACGGAAGGTTCAACTCTGTGACTTGATTGCAAACATCACGAAGGTGTTTCTGAGAATGCTTCTGTCTAGATTTTCTTTGAAGACATTACCGTTTCCAACGAAATCCTCAAAGCTAGTCAAATATCCACCTGCAGATTCTACAAAAAGAGTGTTTCAAAAGTGCTCTGTCCAAACCAAGGTTCAATTGTGACAGTTGAGTGCACACATCACAAACGTGATTCTGCGAATGCTTCTGTCTTGTTTTTGTCGGAAGATATTTCCTTTCTCAGCATAGGCCCCAAGGAGCTCAAAATGTCCACTTCCAGATAGTACGAGAAGATTGTTTCAAACCTGCTCTGTGAAAGGGAATGTTCAACTCTGTGACTTGAATGTAAACATCCCTAAGATGTTTCTTAGAATGTTTCTGGCTAGATTTGATTTGAAGATATTCCCGTTTCCATCGAAATCCTCAAAGCTTTCCAAATATCCACTTCCAGATTCTATAAAAAGAATGTTTCGGAACAGTTCTGTCAAAAGAAAGGTTCAACCCTGTTAGTGGAGAACACACATCACAATCAAGGTTCTGAGAATGCTTCTGTCTAAATTTTCTATGAAGACATTCCCGTTTCCAACGAAATCCTCACAGCTATCCAAATATCCACTTGCAGATTCTACAAAAAGTGTGGTTCAAAACTGCTGTATCAAAAGAATGGATCAACACTGTTAGTTGAGTACTCACATCACAAACGTGATTCTCAGAATGCTTCTGTCTAGTTTCTATAGGTAGATATTTCCTTTTTCAGCATAGGCCTGAAAGCGCTCCAAATGCCCGCTTCCAGACACTATAAAAAGAGGGTTTCAAACCTACTCTATGAAAGGGAATGTTCAACTCTGAGAGCTGGATGCAAACATCACAAAGAAGTTTCTGAGAATGCTGCTGTCTACTTTTTATATATAATCCCGTTTCCAACGAAATCCTCAAATCTATCCAAATATCCACTTGCAGATTCCAAAAGAAGAGTGTCTCAAAACTGCTCTATCAATAGAAATGTTCAGCACAGTTAGTTGAGTAGATACAGCATAAACATGTTTCTGAGATTACTTCTATCTCGCATTCATGGGAAGATATTTCCTTTTTCCAGATAGGCTACAAAGCCCTCCAAATGTCCACTTCGAGATACTACAAATAGAGTGCTGCACAACTGCTCTATGTGAGGGGATGTTCAATTCTGTGACTTGAATGCAGACACCACAAAGAAGTTTCTGAGAATGCTGCTGTCTAATTTTCATATGTAAGCCCATTTCCAACGAAATCCTCAAAGCTATCCAAATATCCTCATGCAGAATCTTCAAAAAGAGTGTTCCAGAAGTACTGCGTGAAACGAAAGGTTCAAGTCCGTTAGTTGAGGACACACATCACAAATAAGTTTCTCAGAATGCTTCTGTCTTGTTTTCATTGGAAGATATTTCCTTTTTCACCATAGTTCAGAAAGCGCTCCAAATGTCCACTTCCAGATACTCCAAAAAGAGTGTTTCCAACCTGCTCTATGAATGGGAATGTTCCACTCTCTGACTTGAATGGAAATATGGCAAAGTATTTTCTGAGTATGCTGCTGTGTACGTTTTATATTGCATCCCGTTTCCAACGAAATCCTCAAAGCGATCCAAATATCCACTTGCAGATTCCAAAAAAAGAGTGTTTCAAACTGCTCTGTCAGTACAAAGGTTCAACACTGTTAGTTGATTAGATGCATCATAAACAAGTTCCTGAGATAGCTTCTATCTCGCATTCATGGGAAGATATTTCCTTTTTCCAGATAGGCTACAAAGCCCTCCAAATGTCCACTTCCAGATACTACAAAAAGTGTGTTTCCAACCTGCTCTATGAAACGGAAGGTTCAACTCTGTGACTTGATTGCAAACATCACGAAGGTGTTTCTGAGAATGCTTCTGTCTAGATTTTCCTTGAAGACATTACCGTTTCCAACGAAATCCTCAAAGCTAGCCAAATATCCACCTGCAGATTCTACAAAAAGAGTGTTTCAAAAGTGCTCTGTCCAAACCAAGGTTGAATTCTGACAGTTGAGTGCACACATCACAAACGTAACTCTGCGAATGTTTCTGTCTAGTTTTTGTCGGAAGATATTTCCTTTTTCAGCATAGGCCCCAAGGAGCTCAAAATGTCCACTGCCAGATAGTACGAGAAGATTGTTTCAAACCTGCTCTGTGAAAGGGAATGTTCAACTCTGTGACTTGAATGTAAACATCCCTAAGATGTTTCTTAGAATGCTTCTGGCTAGATTTGATTTGAAGATATTCCCGTTTCCAACGAAATCCTCAAAGCTTTCCAAATATCCACTTGCAGATTCTATAAAAAGAATGTTTCAGAACAGTTCTGTCAAAAGAAAGGTTCAACTCTGTTAGTGGAGAACACACATCACAATCAAGGTTCTGAGAATGCTTCTGTCTAAATTTTCTATGAAGACATTCCCGTTTCCAACGAAATCCTCACAGCTATCCAAATATCCACTTGCAGATTCTACAAAAAGTGTGGTTCAAAACTGCTGTATCAAAAGAATGGATCAACACTGTTAGTTGAGTACCCACATCACAAACGTGATTCTCAGAATGCTTCTGTCTAGTTTCTATAGGTAGATATTTCCTTTTTCAGCATAGGCCTGAAAGCGCTCCAAATGCCCGCTTCCAGACACTATAAAAAGAGGGTTTCAAACCTACTCTATGAAAGGGAATGTTCAACACTGAGAGCTGGATGCAAACATCACAAAGAAGTTTCTGAGAATGCTGCTGTCTACTTTTGATATATAATCCCGTTTCCAACGAAATCCTCAAATCTATCCAAATATCCACTTGCAGATTCCAAAAGAAGAGTGTCTCAAAACTGCTCTATCAATAGAAATGTTCAGCACAGTTAGTTGAGTAGATACAGCATAAACATGTTTCTGAGATTACTTCTATCTCGCATTCATGGGAAGATATTTCCTTTTTCCAGATAGGCTACAAAGCCCTCCAAATGTCCACTTCCAGATACTACAAATAGAGTGCTGCACAACTGCTCTATGTGAGGGGAAGTTCAATTCTGTGACTTGAATGCAGACACCACAAAGAAGTTTCTGAGAATGCTGCTGTCTAATTTTTACATGTAAGCCCGTTTCCAACGAAATCCTCAAAGCTATCCAAATATCCGCATGCAGAATCTTCAAAAAGAGTGTTCCAGAAGTACTGCATGAAACGAAAGGTTCAAGTCCGTTTGTTGAGGACACACATCACAAAGAAGTTTCTCAGAATGCTTCTGTCTTGTTTTCATTGGAAGATATTTCCTTTTTCACCATAGTTCAGAAAGCGCTCCAAATGTCCACTTCCAGATACTCCAAAAAGAGTGTTTCCAACCTGCTCTATGAATGGGAATGTTCCACTCTGTGACTTGAATGGAAATATGGCAAAGTATTTTCTGAGTATGCTGCTGTGTACGTTTTATATTGCATCCCGTTTCCAACGAAATCCTCAAAGCGATCCAAATATCCACTTGCAGATTCCAAAAAAAGAGTGTTTCAAACTGCTCTGTCAGTACAAAGGTTCAACACTGTTAGTTGATTAGATGCATCATAAACAAGTTCCTGAGATAGCTTCTATGTCGTTTTTATGGGAAGATATTTCCTTTTTCACCATAGGCCTGAAAGCGCTCCAAATGTCCACTTCCAGATACTACAATAAGAGTGTTTCCAACCTGCTCTATGAAACGGAAGGTTCAACTCTGTGACTTGATTGCAAACATCACGAAGGTGTTTCTGAGAATGCTTCTGTCTAGATTTTCTTTGAAGACATTCCCGTTTCCAACGAAATCCTCACAGCTATCCAAATATCCTCTTGCAGATTCTACAAAAAGTGTGGTTCAAAACTGCTGTATCAAAAGAATGGATCAACACTGTTAGTTGAGTACCCACATCACAAACGTGATTCTCAGAATGCTTCTGTCTAGTTTCTGTAGGTAGATATTTCCTATTTTAAGCATAGGCCTGAAAGCGCTCCAAATGCCCGCTTCCAGACACTATAAAAAGAGGGTTTCAAACCTACTCTATGAAAGGGAATGTTCAACTCTGAGAGCTGGATGCAAACATCACAAAGAAGTTTCTGAGAATGCTGCTGTCTACTTTTTATATATAATCCCGTTTCCAACGAAATCCTCAAATCTATCCAAATATCCACTTGCAGATTCCAAAAGAAGAGTGTCTCAAAACTGCTCTATCAATAGAAATGTTCAGCACAGTTAGTTGAGTAGATACAGCATAAACATGTTTCTGAGATTACTTCTATCTCGCATTCATGGGAAGATATTTCCTTTTTCCGGATAGGCTACAAAGCCCTCCAAATGTCCACTTCCAGATACTACAAAAAGAGTGTTTCCAACCTGCTCTATGAAACGGAAGGTTCAACTCTGTGACTTGATTGCAAACATCACGACGCTGTTTCTGAGAATGCTTCTGTCTAGATTTTCTTTGAAGACATTACCGTTTCCAACGAAATCCTCAAAGCTAGCCAAATATCCACCTGCAGATTCTACAAAAAGAGTGTTTCAAAAGTGCTCTGTCCAAACCAAGGTTCAATTCTGACAGTTGAGTGCACACATCACAAACGTGATTCTGCGAATGCTTCTGTCTAGTTTTTGTCGGAAGATATTTCCTTTTTCAGCATAGGCCCCAAGGAGCTCAAAATGTCCACTGCCAGATAGTACGAGAAGATTGTTTCAAACCTGCTCTGTGAAAGGGAATGTTCAACTCTGTGACTTGAATGTAAACATCCCTAAGATGTTTCTTAGAATGCTTCTGGCTAGATTTGATTTGAAGATATTCCCGTTTCCAACGAAATCCTCAAAGCTTTCCAAATATCCACTTCCAGATTCTATAACAAGAATGTTTCAGAACAGTTCTGTCAAAAGAAAGGTTCAACTCTGTTAGTGGAGAACACACATCACAATCAAGGTTCTGAGAATGCTTCTGTCTAAATTTTCTATGAAGACATTCCCGTTTCCAACGAAATCCTCACAGCTATCCAAATATCCACTTGCAGATTCTACAAAAAGTGTGGTTCAAAACTGCTGTATCAAAAGAATGGATCAACACTGTTAGTTGAGTACCCACATCACAAACGTGATTCTCAGAATGCTTCTGTCTAGTTTCCATAGGTAGATATTTCCTTTTTCAGCATAGGCCTGAAAGCGCTCCAAATGCCCGCTTCCAGACACTATAAAAAGAGGGTTTCAAACCTACTCTATGAAAGGGAATGTTCAACTCTGAGAGCTGGATGCAAACATCACAAAGAAGTTTCTGAGAATGCTGCTGTCTACTTTTGATATATAATCCCGTTTCCAACGAAATCCTCAAATCTATCCAAATATCCACTTGCAGATTCCAAAAGAAGAGTGTCTCAAAACTGCTCTATCAATAGAAATGTTCAGCACAGTTAGTTGAGTAGATACAGCATAAACATGTTTCTGAGATTACTTCTATCTCGCATTCATGGGAAGATATTTCCTTTTTCCAGATAGGCTACAAAGCCCTCCAAATGTCCACTTCGAGATACTACAAATAGAGTGCTGCACAACTGCTCTATGTGAGGGGATGTTCAATTCTGTGACTTGAAAGCAGACACCACAAAGAAGTTTCTGAGAATGCTGCTGTCTAATTTTTATATGTAAGCCCGTTTCCAACGAAATCCTCAAAGCTAACCAAATATCCGCATGCAGAATCTTCAAAAAGAGTGTTCCAGAAGTACTGCATGAAACGAAAGCTTCGAGTCCGTTAGTTGAGGACACGCATCACAAATAAGTTTCTCAGAATGCTTCTGTCTTGTTTTCATTGGAAGATATTTCCCTTTTCACCATAGTTCAGAAAGCACTCCAAATGTCCACTTCCAGATACTCCAAAAAGAGTGTTTCAAACCTGCTCTATGAATGGGAATGTTCCACTCTGTGACTTTAATGGAAATATGGCAAAGTATTTTCTGAGTATGCTGCTGTGTACGTTTTATATTGCATCCCGTTTACAACGAAATCCTCAAAGCGATCCAAATATCCACTTGCAGATTCCAAAAAAAGAGTGTTTCAAACTGCTCTGTCAGTACAAAGGTTCAACACTGTTAGTTGATTAGAGGCATCATAAACAAGTTCCTGAGATAGCTTCTATGTCGCTTTTATGGGAAGATATTTCCTTTTACACCATAGGCCTGAAAGCGCTCCAAATGTCCACTTCCAGATACTACAAAATGAGTGTTTCCAACCTGCTCTATGAAACGGAAGGTTCAACTCTGTGACTTGATTGCAAACATCACGAAGGTGTTTCTGAGGATGTTTCTGTCTAGATTTTCTTTCAAGACATTACCGTTTCCAACGAAATCCTCAAAGCTAGCCAAATATCCACCTGCAGATTCTACAAAAAGAGTGTTTCAAAAGTGCTCTGTCCAAACCAAGGTTCAATTCTGACAGTTGAGTGCACACATCACAAACGTGATTCTGCGAATGCTTCTGTCTAGTTTTTGTCGGAAGATATTTCCTTTTTCAGCATAGGCCCCAAGGAGCTCAAAATGTCCACTGCCAGATAGTACGAGAAGATTGTTTCAAACCTGCTCTGAGAAAGGGGAATGTTCAACTCTGTGACTTGAATGTACACATCCCTAAGATGTTTCTTAGAATGCTTCTGGCTAGATTTTATTTGAAGATATTCCCGTTTCCAACGAAATCCTCAAAGCTTTCCAAATATCCACTTCCAGATTCTATAAAAAGAATGTTTCAAAACAGTTCTGTCAAAAGAAAGGTTCAACTCTGTTAGTGGAGAACACACATCACAATCCAGGTTCTGAGAATGCTTCTGTCTAAATTTTCTATGAAGACATTCCCGTTTCCAACGAAATCCTCACAGCTATCCAAATATCCACTTGCAGATTCTACAAAAAGGGTGGTTCAAAACTGCTGTATCAAAAGAATGGATCAACACTGTTAGTTGAGTACCCACATCACAAACGTGATTCTCAGAATGCTTCTGTCTAGTTTCTATAGGTAGATATTTCCTTTTTCAGCATAGGCCTGAAAGCGCTCCAAATGCCCACTTCCAGACACTATAAAAAGAGGGTTTCAAACCTACTCTACGAAAGGGAATGTTCAACTCTGAGAGCTGGATGCAAACATCACAAAGAAGTTTGCTGAGAATGCGGCTGTCTACTTTTTATATATAATCCCGTTGCCATCGAAATCCTCAAATCTATCCAAATATCCACTTGCAGATTCCAAAAGAAGAGAGTCTCAAAACTGCTCTATCAATAGAGATGTTCAGCACATTTAGTTCAGTAGATACAGCATAAACATGTTTCTGAGATTACTTCTATCTCGCATTCATGGGAAGATATTTCCTTTTTCCAGATAGGCTACAAAGCCCTCCAAATGTCCACTTCGAGATACTACAAATAGAGTGCTGCACAACTGCTCTATGGGAGGGGATGTTCAATTCTGTGACTTGAACGCAGACACCACAAAGAAGTTTCTGAGAATGCTGCTGTCTAATTTTTACATGTAAGCCCGTTTCCAACGAAATCCTCAAAGCTATCCAAATATCCGCATGCCCAATCTTCAAAAAGAGTGTTCCAGAAGTACTGCATGAAACGAAAGGTTCAAGTCCGTTAGTTGAGGACACACATCACAAATAATTTTCTCAGAATGCTTCTGTCTTGTTTTCATTGGAAGATATTTCCTTTTTCACCATAGTTCAGAAAGCGCTCCAAATGTCCACTTCCAGATACTCCAAAAAGAGTGTTTCAAACCTGCTCTATGAATGGGAATGTTCCACTCTGTGACTTGAATGGAAATATGGCAAAGTATTTTCTGAGTATGCTGCTGTGTACGTTTTATATTGCATCCCGTTTCCAACGAAATCCTCAAAGCGATCCAAATATCCACATGCAGATTCCAAAAAAAGAGTGTTTCAAACTGCTCTGTCAGTACAAAGGTTCAACACTGTTAGTTGATTAGATGCATCATAAACAAGTTCCTGAGATAGCTCTATCTCGCATTCATGGGAAGATATTTCCTTTTTCCAGATAGGCTACAAAGCCCTCCAAATGTCCACTTCCAGATACTACAAAAAGAGTGTTTCCAACCTGCTCTATGAAACGGAAGGTTCAACTCTGTGACTTGATTGCAAACATCACGAAGGTGTTTCTGAGAATGCTTTCTGTCTAGATTTTCTTTGAAGACATTACCGTTTCCAACGAAATCCTCAAAGCTAGCCAAATATCCACCTGCAGATTCTACAAAAAGAGTGTTTCAAAAGTGCTCTGTCCAAACCAAGGTTCAATTCTGACAGTTGAGTGCACACATCACAAACGTGATTCTGCGAATGCTTCTGTCTAGTTTTTGTCGGAAGATATTTCCTTTTTCAGCATAGGCCCCAAGGAGCTCAAAATGTCCACTGCCAGATAGTACGAGAAGATTGTTTCAAACCTGCTCTGTGAAAGGGAATGTTCAACTCTGTGACTTGAATGTAAACATCCCTAAGATGTTTCTTAGAATGCTTCTGGCTAGATTTGATTTGAAGATATTCCCGTTTCCAACGAAATCCTCAAAGCTTTCCAAATATCCACTTCCAGATTCTATAAAAAGAATGTTTCAGAACAGTTCCGTCAAAAGAAAGGTTCAACTCTGTTAGTGGAGAACACACTTCACAATCAAGGTTCTGAGAATGCTTCTGTCTAAATTTTCTATGAAGACATTCCCGTTTCCAACGAAATCCTCACAGCTATCCAAATATCCACTTGCAGATTCTACAAAAAGTGTGGTTCAAAACTGCTGTATCAAAAGAATGGATCAACACTGTTAGTTGAGTACCCACATCACAAACGTGATTCTCAGAATGCTTCTGTCTAGTTTCTATAGGTAGATATTTCCTTTTTCAGCATAGGCCTGAAAGCGCTCCAAATGCCCGCTTCCAGACACTATAAAAAGAGGGTTTCAAACCTACTCTATGAAAGGGAATGTTCAACTCTGAGAGCTGGATGCAAACATCACAAAGAAGTTTCTGAGAATGCTGCTGTCTACTTTTTATATATAATCCCGTTTCCAACGAAATCCTCAAATCTATCCAAATATCCACTTGCAGATTCCAAAAGAAGAGTGTCTCAAAACTGCTCTATCAATAGAAATGTTCAGCACAGTTAGTTGAGTAGATACAGCATAAACATGTTTCTGAGATTACTTCTATCTCGCATTCATGGGAAGATATTTCCTTTTTCCAGATAGGCTACAAAGCCCTCCAAATGTCCACTTCCAGATACTACAAATAGAGTGCTGCACAACTGCTCTATGTGAGGGGAAGTTCAATTCTGTGACTTGAATGCAGACACCACAAAGAAGTTTCTGAGAATGCTGCTGTCTAATTTTTACATGTAAGCCCGTTTCCAACGAAATCCTCAAAGCTATCCAAATATCCGCATGCAGAATCTTCAAAAAGAGTGTTCCAGAAGTACTGCATGAAACGAAAGGTTCAAGTCCGTTTGTTGAGGACACACATCACAAATAAGTTTCTCAGAATGCTTCTGTCTTGTTTTCATTGGAAGATATTTCCTTTTTCACCATAGTTCAGAAAGCGCTCCAAATGTCCACTTCCAGATACTCCAAAAAGAGTGTTTCCAACCTGCTCTATGAATGGGAATGTTCCACTCTGTGACTTGAATGGAAATATGGCAAAGTATTTTCTGAGTATGCTGCTGTGTACGTTTTATATTGCATCCCGTTTCCAACGAAATCCTCAAAGCGATCCAAATATCCACTTGCAGATTCCAAAAAAAAAGTGTTTCAAACTGCTCTGTCAGTACAAAGGTTCAACACTGTTAGTTGATTAGATGCATCATAAACAAGTTCCTGAGATAGCTTCTATCTCGCATTCATGGGAAGATATTTCCTTTTTCCAGATAGGCTACAAAGCCCTCCAAATGTCCACTTCCAGATACTACAAAAAGTGTGTTTCCAACCTGCTCTATGAAACGGAAGGTTCAACTCTGTGACTTGATTGCAAACATCACGAAGGTGTTTCTGAGAATGCTTCTGTCTAGATTTTCTTTGAAGACATTACCGTTTCCAACGAAATCCTCAAAGCTAGCCAAATATCCACCTGCAGATTCTACAAAAAGAGTGTTTCAAAAGTGCTCTCTCCAAACCAAGGTTCAATTCTGACAGTTGAGTGCACACATCACAAACGTGATTCTGCGAATGCTTCTATCTAGTTTTTGTCGGAAGATATTTCCTTTTTCAGCATAGGCCGCAAAGAGCTCAAAATGTCCACTGCCAGATAGTACGAGAAGATTGTTTCAAACCTGCTCCGTGAAAGGGAATGTTCAACTCTGTGACTTGAATGTAAACATCCCTAAGATGTTTCTTAGAATGCTTCTGGCTAGATTTTATTTGAAGATATTCCCGTTTCCAACGAAATCCTCAAAGCTTTCCAAATATCCACTTCCAGATTCTATAAAAAGAATGTTTCAGAACAGTTCTGTCAAAAGAAAGGTTCAACTCTGTTAGTGGAGAACACACATCACAATCAAGGTTCTGAGAATGCTTCCTGTCTAAATTTTCTATGAAGACATTCCCGTTTCCAACGAAATCCTCACAGCTATCCAAGTATCCACTTGCAGATTCTACAAAAAGTGTGGTTCAAAACTGCTGTATCAAAAGAATGGATCAACACTGTTAGTTGAGTACCCACATCACCAACGTGATTCTCAGAATGCTTCTGTCTAGTTTCTATAGGTAGATATTTCCTTTTTCAGCATAGGCCTGAAAGCGCTCCAAATGCCCGCTTCCAGACACTATAAAAAGAGGGTTTCAAACCTACTCTATGAAAGGGAATGTTCAACTCTGAGAGCTGGATGCAAACATCACAAAGAAGTTTCTGAGAATGCTGCTGTCTACTTTTTATATATCATCCCGTTTCCAACGAAATCCTCAAATCTATCCAAATATCCACTTGCAGATTCCAAAAGAAGAGTGTCTCAAAACTGCTCTATCAATAGAAATGTTCAGCACAGTTAGTTGAGTAGATACAGCATAAACATGTTTCTGAGATTACTTCTATCTCGCATTCATGGGAAGATATTTCCTTTTTCCAGATAGGCTACAAAGCCCTCCAAATGTCCACTTCCAGATAGTACAAATAGAGTGCTGCACAACTGCTCTATGTGAGGGGAAGTTCAATTCTGTGACTTGAATGCAGACACCACAAAGAAGTTTCTGAGAATGCTGCTGTCTAATTTTTACATGTAAGCCCGTTTCCAACGAAATCCTCAAAGCTATCCAAATATCCGCATGCAGAATCTTCAAAAAGAGTGTTCCAGAAGTACTGCATGAAACGAAAGGTTCAAGTCCGTTTGTTGAGGACACACATCACAAATAAGTTTCTCAGAATGCTTCTGTCTTGTTTTCATTGGAAGATATTTCCTTTTTCACCATAGTTCAGAAAGCGCTCCAAATGTCCACTTCCAGATACTCCAAAAAGAGTGTTTCAAACCTGCTCTATGAATGGGAATGTTCCACTCTCTGACTTGAATGGAAATATGGCAAAGTATTTTCTGAGTATGCTGCTGTGTACGTTTTATATTGCATCCCGTTTCCAACGAAATCCTCAAAGCGATCCAAATATCCACTTGCAGATTCCAAAAAAAGAGTGTTTCAAACTGCTCTGTCAGTAGAAAGGTTCAACACTGTTAGTTGATTAGATGCATCATAAACAAGTTCCTGAGATAGCTTCTATGTCGTTTTTATGGGAAGATATTTCCTTTTTCACCATAGGCCTGAAAGCGCTCCAAATGTCCACTTCCAGATACTACAATAAGAGTGTTTCCAACCTGCTCTATGAAACGGAAGGTTCAACTCTGTGACTTGATTGCAAACATCACGAAGGTGTTTCTGAGAATGCTTCTGTCTAGATTTTCTTTGAAGACATTACCGTTTCAAACGAAATCCTCAAAGCTAGCCAAATATCCACCTGCAGATTCTACAAAAAGAGTGTTTCAAAAGTGCTCTGTCCAAACCAAGGTTCAATTACTGACAGTTGAGTGCACACATCACAAACGTGATTCTGCGAATGCTTCTGTCTAGTTTTTGTCGGAAGATATTTCCTTTTTCAGCATAGGCCCCAAGGAGCTCAAAATGTCCACTGCCAGATAGTACGAGAAGATTGTTTCAAACCTGCTCTGTGAAAGGGAATGTTCAACTCTGTGACTTGAATGTAAACATCTCTAAGATGTTTCTTATAATGCTTCTGGCTAGATTTGATTTGAAGATATTCCCGTTTCCAACGAAATCCTCAAAGCTTTCCAAATATCCACTTCCAGATTCTATAAAAAGAATGTTTCAGAACAGTTCTGTCAAAAGAAAGGTACAACTCTGTTAGTGGAGAACACACATCACAATCAAGGTTCTGAGAATGCTTCTGTCTAAATTTTCTATGAAGACATTCCCGTTTCCAACGAAATCCTCACAGCTATCCAAATATCCACTTGCAGATTCTACAAAAAGTGTGGTTCAAAACTGCTGTATCAAAAGAATGGATCAACACTGTTAGTTGAGTACCCACATCACAAACGTGATTCTCAGAATGCTTCTGTCTAGTTTCTATAGGTAGATATTTCCTTTTTCAGCATAGGCCTGAAAGCGCTCCAAATGCCCGCTTCCAGACACTATAAAAAGAGGGTTTCAAACCTACTCTATGAAAGGGAATGTTCAACTCTGAGAGCTGGATGCAAACATCACAAAGAAGTTTCTGAGAATGCTGCTGTCTACTTTTTATATATAATCCCGTTTCCAACGAAATCCTCAAATCTATCCAAATATCCACTTGCAGATTCCAAAAGAAGAGTGTCTCAAAACTGCTCTATCAATAGAAATGTTCAGCACAGTTAGTTGAGTAGATACAGCATAAACATGTTTCTGAGATTACTTCTATCTCGCATTCATGGGAAGATATTTCCTTTTTCCAGATAGGCTACAAAGCCCTCCAAATGTCCACTTCCAGATACTACAAATAGAGTGCTGCACAACTGCTCTATGTGAGGGGATGTTCAATTCTGTGACTTGAATGCAGACACCACAAAGAAGTTTCTGAGAATGCTGCTGTCTAATTTTTACATGTAAGCCCGTTTCCAACGAAATCCTCAAAGCTATCCAAATATCCGCATGCAGAATCTTCAAAAAGAGTGTTCCAGAAGTACTGCATGAAACGAAAGGTTCAAGTCCGTTTGTTGAGGACACACATCACAAATAAGTTTCTCAGAATGCTTCTGTCTTGTTTTCATTGGAAGATATTTCCTTTTTCACCATAGTTCAGAAAGCGCTCCAAATGTCCACTTCCAGATACTCCAAAAAGAGTGTTTCCAACCTGCTCTATGAATGGGAATGTTCCACTCTGTGACTTGAATGGAAATATGGCAAAGTATTTTCTGAGTATGCTGCTGTGTACGTTTTATATTGCATCCCGTTTCCAACGAAATCCTCAAAGCGATCCAAATATCCACTTGCAGATTCCAAAAAAAGAGTGTTTCAAACTGTTCTGTCAGTACAAAGGTTCAACACTGTTAGCTGATTAGATGCATCATAGACAAGTTCCTGAGATAGCTTCTATCTCGCATTCATGGGAAGATATTTCCTTTTTCCAGATAGGCTACAAAGCCCTCCAAATGTCCACTTCCAGATACTACAAAAAGTGTGTTTCCAACCTGCTCTATGAAACGGAAGGTTCAACTCTGTGACTTGATTGCAAACATCACGAAGGTGTTTCTGAGAATGCTTCTGTCTAGATTTTCTTTGAAGACATTACCGTTTCCAACGAAATCCTCAAAGCTAGCCAAATATCCACCTGCAGATTCTACAAAAAGAGTGTTTCAAAAGTGCTCTCTCCAAACCAAGGTTCAATTCTGACAGTTGAGTGCACACATCACAAACGTGATTCTGCGAATGCTTCTGTCTAGTTTTTGTCGGAAGATATTTCCTTTTTCAGCATAGGCCCCAAAGAGCTCAAAATGTCCACTGCCAGATAGTACGAGAAGATTGTTTCAAACCTGCTCTGTGAAAGGGAATGTTCAACTCTGTGACTTGAATGTAAACATCCCTAAGCTGTTTCTTAGAATGCTTCTGGCTAGATTTGATTTGAAGATATTCCCGTTTCCAACGAAATCCTCAAAGCTTTCCAAATATCCACTTCCAGATTCTATAAAAAGAATGTTTCAGAACAGTTCTGTCAAAAGAAAGGTTCAACTCTGTTAGTGGAGAACACACATCACAATCAAGGTTCTGAGAATGCTTCTGTCTACATTTTCTATGAAGACATTCCCGTTTCCAACGAAATCCTCACAGCTATCCAAATATCCACTTGCAGATTCTACAAAAAGTGTGGTTCAAAACTGCTGTATCAAAAGAATGGATCAACACTGTTAGTTGAGTACCCACATCACAAACGTGATTCTCAGAATGCTTCTGTCTAGTTTCTATAGGTAGATATTTCCTTTTTCAGCATAGGCCTGAAAGCGCTCCAAATGCCCGCTTCCAGACACTATAAAAAGAGGGTTTCAAACCTACTCTATGAAAGGGAATGTTCAACTCTGAGAGCTGGATGCAAACATCACAAAGAAGTTTCTGAGAATGCTGCTGTCTACTTTTGATATATAATCCCGTTTCCAACGAAAATCCTCAAATCTATCCAAATATCCACTTGCAGATTCCAAAAGAAGAGTGTCTCAAAACTGCTCTATCAATAGAAATGTTCAGCACAGTTAGTTGAGTAGATACAGCATAAACATGTTTCTGAGATTACTTCTATCTCGCATTCATGGGAAGATATTTCCTTTTTCCAGATAGGCTACAAAGCCCTCCAAATGTCCACTTCCAGATACTACAAATAGAGTGCTGCACAACTGCTCTATGTGAGGGGAAGTTCAATTCTGTGACTTGAATGCAGACACCACAAAGAAGTTTCTGAGAATGCTGCTGTCTAATTTTTACATGTAAGCCCGTTTCCAACGAAATCCTCAAAGCTATCCAAATATCCGCATGCAGAATCTTCAAAAAGAGTGTTCCAGAAGTACTGCATGAAACGAAAGGTTCAAGTCCGTTTGTTGAGGACACACATCACAAATAAGTTTTTCAGAATGCTTCTGTCTTGTTTTCATTGGAAGATATTTCCTTTTTCACCATAGTTCAGAAAGCGCTCCAAATGTCCACTTCCAGATACTCCAAAAAGAGTGTTTCCAGCCTGCTCTATGAATGGGAATGTTCCACTCTGTGACTTGAATGGAAATATGGCAAAGTATTTTCTGAGTATGCTGCTGTGTACGTTTTATATTGCATCCCGTTTCCAACGAAATCCTCAAAGCGATCCAAATATCCACTTGCAGATTCCAAAAAAAGAGTGTTTCAAACTGCTCTGTCAGTACAAAGGTTCAACACTGTTAGTTGATTAGATGCATCATAAACAAGTTCCTGAGATAGCTTCAATGTCGCTTTTATGGGAAGATATTTCCTTTTACACCATAGGCCTGAAATCGCTCCAAATGTCCAATTCCAGATACTACAAAATGAGTGTTTCCAACCTGCTCTATGAAACGGAAGGTTCAACTCTGTGACTTGATTGCAAACATCACGAAGGTGTTTCTGAGGATGTTTCTGTCTAGATTTTCTTTGAAGACATTACCGTTTCCAACGAAATCCTCAAAGCTAGCCAAATATCCACCTGCAGATTCTACAAAAAGAGTGTTTCAAAAGTGCTCTGTCCAAACCAAGGTTCAATTCTGACAGTTGAGTGCACACATCACAAACGTGATTCTGCGAATGCTTCTGTCTAGTTTTTGTCGGAAGATATTTCCTTTTTCAGCATAGGCCCCAAAGAGCTCAAAATGTCCACTGCCAGATAGTACGAGAAGATTGTTTCAAACCTGCTCTGTGAAAGGGAATGTTCAACTCTGTGACTTGAATGTAAACATCCCTAAGCTGTTTCTTAGAATGCTTCTGGCTAGATTTGATTTGAAGATATTCCCGTTTCCAACGAAATCCTCAAAGCTTTCCAAATATCCACTTCCAGATTCTATAAAAAGAATGTTTCAGAACAGTTCTGTCAAAAGAAAGGTTCAGCTCTGTTAGTGGAGAACACACATCACAATCAAGGTTCTGAGAATGCTTCTGTCTAAATTTTCTATGAAGACATTCCCGTTTCCAATGAAATCCTCACAGCTATCCAAATATCCACTTGCAGATTCTACAAAAAGTGTGGTTCAAAACTGCTGTATCAAAAGAATGGATCGACACTGTTAGTTGAGTACCCACATCACAAACGTGATTCTCAGAATGCTTCTGTCTAGTTTCTGTAGGTAGATATTTCCTATTTTAAGCATAGGCCTGAAAGCGCTACAAATGCCCGCTTCCAGACACTATAAAAAGAGGGTTTCAAACCTACTCTATGAAAGGGAATGTTCAACTCTGAGAGCTGGATGCAAACATCACAAAGAAGTTTCTGAGAATGCTGCTGTCTACTTTTTATATATAATCCCGTTTCCAACGAAATCCTCAAATCTATCCAAATATCCACTTGCAGATTCCAAAAGAAGAGTGTCTCAAAACTGCTCTATCAATAGAAATGTTCAGCACAGTTAGTTGAGTAGATACAGCATAAACATGTTTCTGAGATTACTTCTATCTCGCATTCATGGGAAGATATTTCCTTTTTCCACATAGGCTACAAAGCCCTCCAAATGTCCACTTCCAGATACTACAAATAGAGTGCTGCACAACTGCTCTATGTGAGGGGAAGTTAAATTCTGTGACTTGAATGCAGACACCACAAAGAAGTTTCTGAGAATGCTGCTGTCTAATTTTTACATGTAAGACCGTTTCCAACGAAATCCTCAAAGCTATCCAAATATCCGCATGCAGAATCTTCAAAAAGAGTGTTCCAGAAGTACTGCATGAAACGAAAGGTTCAAGTCCGTTTGTTGAGGACACACATCACAAATAAGTTTCTCAGAATGCTTCTGTGTTGTTTTCATTGGAAGATATTTCCTTTTTCACCATAGTTCAGAAAGCGCTCCAAATGTCCACTTCCAGATACTCCAAAAAGAGTGTTTCCAACCTGCTCTATGAATGGGAATGTTCCACTCTGTGACTTGAATGGAAATATGGCAAAGTATTTTCTGAGTATGCTGCTGTGTACGTTTTATATTGCATCCCGTTTCCAACGAAATCCTCAAAGCGATCCAAATATCCACTTGCAGATTCCAAAAAAAGAGTGTTTCAAACTGCTCTGTCAGTACAAAGGTTCAACACTGTTAGTTGATTAGATGCATCATAAAAAAGTTCCTGAGATAGCTTCTATCTCGCATTCATGGGAAGATATTTCCTTTTTCCAGATAGGCTACAAAGCCCTCCAAATGTCCACTTCCAGATACTACAAAAAGTGTGTTTCCAACCTGCTCTATGAAACGGAAGGTTCAACTCTGTGACTTGATTGCAAACATCACGAAGGTGTTTCTGAGAATGCTTCTGTCTAGATTTTCTTTGAAGACATTACCGTTTCCAACGAAATCCTCAAAGCTAGCCAAATATCCACCTGCAGATTCTACAAAAAGTGTGTTTCAAAAGTGCTCCCTCCAAACCAAGGTTCAATTCTGACAGTTGAGTGCACACATCACAAACGTGATTCTGCGAATGCTTCTGTCTAGTTTTTGTCGGAAGATATTTCCTTTTTCAGCATAGGCCCCAAGGAGCTCAAAATGTCCACTGCCAGATAGTACGAGAAGATTGTTTCAAACCTGCTCTGTGAAAGGGAATGTTCAACTCTGTGACTTGAATGTAAACATCCCTAAGATGTTTCTTAGAATGCTTCTGGCTAGATTTTATTTGAAGATATTCCCGTTTCCAACGAAATCCTCAAAGCTTTCCAAATATCCACTTCCAGATTCTATAAAAAGAATGTTTCAGAACAGTTCTGTCAAAAGAAAGGTTCAACTCTGTTAGTGGAGAACACACATCACAATCAAGGTTCTGAGAATGCTTCTGTCTAAATTTTCTATGAAGACATTCCCGTTTCCAACGAAATCCTCACAGCTATCCAAATATCCACTTGCAGATTCTACAAAAAGTGTGGTTCAAAACTGCTGTATCAAAAGAATGGATCAACACAGTTAGTTGAGTACCCACATCACAAACGTGATTCTCAGAATGCTTCTGTCTAGTTTCTATAGGTAGATATTTCCTTTTTCAGCATAGGCCTGAAAGCGCTCCAAATGCCCGCTTCCAGACACTATAAAAAGAGGGTTTCAAACCTACTCTATGAAAGGGAATGTTCAACTCTGAGAGCTGGATGCAAACATCACAAAGAAGTTTCTGAGAATGCTGCTGTCTACTTTTTATATATAATCCCGTTTCCAACGAAATCCTCAAATCTATCCAAATATCCACTTGCAGATTCCAAAAGAAGAGTGTCTCAAAACTGCTCTATCAATAGAAATGTTCAGCACAGTTAGTTGAGTAGATACAGCATAAACATGTTTCTGAGATTACTTCTATCTCGCATTCATGGGAAGATATTTCCTTTTTCCAGATAGGCTACAAAGCCCTCCAAATGTCCACTTCCAGATACTACAAATAGAGTGCTGCACAACTGCTCTATGTGAGGGGAAGTTCAATTCTGTGACTTGAATGCAGACACCACAAAGAAGTTTCTGAGAATGCTGCTGTCTAATTTTTACATGTAAGCCCGTTTCCAACGAAATCCTCAAAGCTATCCAAATATCCGAATGCAGAATCTTCAAAAAGAGTGTTCCAGAAGTACTGCATGAAACGAAAGGTTCAAGTCCGTTTGTTGAGGACACACATCACAAATAAGTTTCTCAGAATGCTTCTGTGTTGTTTTCATTGGAAGATATTTCCTTTTTCACCATAGTTCAGAAAGCGCTCCAAATGTCCACTTCCAGATACTCCAAAAAGAGTGTTTCAAACCTGCTCTATGAATGGGAATGTTCCACTCTGTGACTTGAATGGAAATATGGCAAAGTATTTTCTGAGTATGCTGCTGTGTACGTTTTATATTGCATCCCGTTTCCAACGAAATCCTCAAAGCGATCCAAATATCCACTTGCAGATTCCAAAAAAAGAGTGTTTCAAACTGCTCTGTCAGTACAAAGGTTCAACACTGTTAGTTGATTAGATGCATCATAAACAAGTTCCTGAGACAGCTTCTATGTCGTTTTTATGGGAAGATATTTCCTTTTTCACCATAGGCCTGAAAGCGCTCCAAATGTCCACTTCCAGATACTACAATAAGAGTGTTTCCAACCTGCTCTATGAAACGGAAGGTTCAACTCTGTGACTTGATTGCAAACATCACGAAGGTGTTTCTGAGAATGCTTCTGTCTAGATTTTCTTTGAAGACATTCCCGTTTCCAACGAATTCCTCACAGCTATCCAAATATCCTCTTGCAGATTCTACAAAAAGTGTGGTTCAAAACTGCTGTATCAAAAGAATGGATCAACACTGTTAGTTGAGTACCCACATCACAAACGTGATTCTCAGAATGCTTCTGTCTAGTTTCTGTAGGTAGATATTTCCTATTTTAAGCATAGGCCTGAAAGCGCTCCAAATGCCCGCTTCCAGACACTATAAAAAGAGGGTTTCAAACCTACTCTATGAAAGGGAATGTTCAACTCTGAGAGCTGGATGCAAACATCACAAAGAAGTTTCTGAGAATGCTGCTGTCTACTTTTTATATATAATCCCGTTTCCAACGAAATCCTCAAATCTCTCCAAATATCCACTTGCAGATTCCAAAAGAAGAGTGTCTCAAAACTGCTCTATCAATAGAAATGTTCAGCACAGTTAGTTGAGTAGATACAGCATAAACATGTTTCTCAGATTACTTCTATCTCGCATTCATGGGAAGATATTTCCTTTTTCCAGATAGGCTACAAAGCCCTCCAAATGTCCACTTCCAGATACTACAAAAAGAGTGTTTCCAACCTGCTCTATGAAACGGAAGGTTCAACTCTGTGACTTGATTGCAAACATCACGAAGGTGTTTCTGAGAATGCTTCTGTCTAGATTTTCTTTGAAGACATTACCGTTTCCAACGAAATCCTCAAAGCTAGCCAAATATCCACCTGCAGATTCTACAAAAAGTGTGTTTCAAAAGTGCTCCCTCCAAACCAAGGTTCAATTCTGACAGTTGAGTGCACACATCACAAACGTGATTCTGCGAATGCTTCTGTCTAGTTTTTGTCGGAAGATATTTCCTTTTTCAGCATAGGCCCCAAGGAGCTCAAAATGTCCCCTGCCAGATAGTACGAGAAGATTGTTTCAAACCTGCTCTGTGAAAGGGAATGTTCAACTCTGTGACTTGAATGTAAACATCCCTAAGATGTTTCTTAGAATGCTTCTGGCTAGATTTGATTTGAAGATATTCCCGTTTCCAACGAAATCCTCAAAGCTTTCCAAATATCCACTTCCAGATTCTATAAAAAGAATGTTTCAGAACAGTTCTGTCAAAAGAAAGGTTCAACTCTGTTAGTGGAGAACACACATCACAATCAAGGTTCTGAGAATGCTTCTGTCTAAATTTTCTATGAAGACATTCCCGTTTCCAACGAAATCCTCACAGCTATCCAAATATCCACTTGCAGATTCTACAAAAAGTGTGGTTCAAAACTGCTGTATCAAAAGAATGGATCAACACTGTTAGTTGAGTACCCACATCACAAACGTGATTCTCAGAATGCTTCTGTCTAGTTTCTATAGGTAGATATTTCCTTTTTCAGCATAGGCCTGAAAGCGCTCCAAATGCCCGCTTCCAGACACTATAAAAAGAGGGTTTCAAACCTACTCTATGAAAGGGAATGTTCAACTCTGAGAGCTGGATGCAAACATCACAAAGAAGTTTCTGAGAATGCTGCTGTCTACTTTTTATATATAATCCCGTTTCCAACGAAATCCTCAAATCTATCCAAATATCCACTTGCAGATTCCAAAAGAAGAGGGTCTCAAAACTGCTCTATCAATAGAAATGTTCAGCACAGTTAGTTGAGTAGATACAGCATAAACATGTTTCTGAGATTACTTCTATCTCGCATTCATGGGAAGATATTTCCTTTTTCCAGATAGGCTACAAAGCCCTCCAAATGTCCACTTCCAGATACTACAAATAGAGTGCTGCACAACTGCTCTATGTGAGGGGAAGTTCAATTCTGTGACTTGAATGCAGACACCACAAAGAAGTTTCTGAGAATGCTGCTGTCTAATTTTTACATGTAAGCCCGTTTCCAACGAAATCCTCAAAGCTATCCAAATATCCGCATGCAGAATCTTCAAAAAGAGTGTTCCAGAAGTACTGCATGAAACGAAAGGTTCAAGTCCGTTTGTTGAGGACACACATCACAAATAAGTTTCTCAGAATGCTTCTGTCTTGTTTTCATTGGAAGATATTTCCTTTTTCACCATAGTTCAGAAAGCGCTCCAAATGTCCACTTCCAGATACTCCAAAAAGAGTGTTTCCAACCTGCTCTATGAATGGGAATGTTCCACTCTCTGACTTGAATGGAAATATGGCAAAGTATTTCCTGAGTATGCTGCTGTGTACGTTTTATATTGCATCCCGTTTCCAACGAAATCCTCAAAGCGATCCAAATATCCACTTGCAGATTCCAAAAAAAGAGTGTTTCAAACTGCTCTGTCAGTACAAAGGTTCAACACTGTTAGTTGATTAGATGCATCATAAACAAGTTCCTGAGATAGCTCTATGTCGTTTTTATGGGAAGATATTTCCTTTTTCACCATAGGCCTGAAAGCGCTCCAAATGTCCACTTCCAGATACTACAATAAGAGTGTTTCCAACCTGCTCTATGAAACGGAAGGTTCAACTCTGTGACTTGATTGCAAACATCACGAAGGTGTTTCTGAGAATGCTTTCTGTCTAGATTTTCTTTGAAGACATTCCCGTTTCCAACGAAATCCTCACAGCTATCCAAATATCCTCTTGCAGATTCTACAAAAAGTGTGGTTCAAAACTGCTGTATCAAAAGAATGGATCAACACTGTTAGTTGAGTACCCACATCACAAACGTGATTCTCAGAATGCTTCTGTCTAGTTTCTGTAGGTAGATATTTCCTATTTTAAGCATAGGCCTGAAAGCGCTCCAAATGCCCGCTTCCAGACACTATAAAAAGAGGGTTTCAAACCTACTCTATGAAAGGGAATGTTCAACTCTGAGAGCTGGATGCAAACATCACAAAGAAGTTTCTGAGAATGCTGCTGTCTACTTTTTATATATAATCCCGTTTCCAACGAAATCCTCAAATCTATCCAAATATCCACTTGCAGATTCCAAAAGAAGAGTGTCTCAAAACTGCTCTATCAATAGAAATGTTCAGCACAGTTAGTTGAGTAGATACAGCATAAACATGTTTCTGAGATTACTTCTATCTCGCATTCATGGGAAGATATTTCCTTTTTCCAGATAGGCTACAAAGCCCTCCAAATGTCCACTTCCAGATACTACAAATAGAGTGCTGCACAACTGCTCTATGTGAGGGGAAGTTCAATTCTGTGACTTGAATGCAGACACCACAAAGAAGTTTCTGAGAATGCTGCTGTCTAATTTTTACATGTAAGCCCGTTTCCAACGAAATCCTCAAAGCTATCCAAATATCCGCATGCAGAATCTTCAAAAAGAGTGTTCCAGAAGTACTGCATGAAACGAAAGGTTCAAGTCCGTTTGTTGAGGACACACATCACAAATAAGTTTCTCAGAATGCTTCTGTCTTGTTTTCATTGGAAGATATTTCCTTTTTCACCATAGTTCAGAAAGCGCTCCAAATGTCCACTTCCAGATACTCCAAAAAGAGTGTTTCAAACCTGCTCTATGAATGGGAATGTTCCACTCTGTGACTTGAATGGAAATATGGCAAAGTATTTTCTGAGTATGCTGCTGTGTACGTTTTATATTGCATCCCGTTTCCAACGAAATCCTCAAAGCGATCCAAATATCCACTTGCAGATTCCAAAAAAAGAGTGTTTCAAACTGCTCTGTCAGTACAAAGGTTCAACACTGTTAGTTGATTAGATGCATCATAAACAAGTTCCTGATATAGATTCTATGTCGTTTTTATGGGAACATATTTCCTTTTACACCATAGGCCTGAAAGCGCTCCAAATGTCCACTTCCAGATACTACAAAATGAGTGTTTCCAACCTGCTCTATGAAACGGAAGGTTCAACTCTGTGACTTGATTGCAAACATCACGAAGGTGTTTCTGAGGATGTTTCTGTCTTGATTTTCTTTGAAGACATTACCGTTTCCAACGAAATCCTCAAAGCTAGCCAAATATCCACCTGCAGATTCTACAAAAAGAGTGTTTCATAGGTGCTCTGTCGAAACAAAGGTTCAATTCTGACAGTTGAGTGCACACATCACAAACGTGATTCTGCGAATGCTTCTGTCTAGTTTTTGTCGGAAGATATTTCCTTTTTCAGCATAGGCCCCAAGGAGCTCAAAATGTCCACTGCCAGATAGTACGAGAAGATTGTTTCAAACCTGCTCTGTGAAAGGGAATGTTCAACTCTGTGACTTGAATGTAAACATCCCTAAGATGTTTCTTAGAATGCTTCTGGCTAGATTTGATTTGAAGATATTCCCGTTTCCAACGAAATCCTCAAAGCTTTCCAAATATCCACTTCCAGATTCTATAAAAAGAATGTTTCAGAACAGTTCTGTCAAAAGAAAGGTTCAACTCTGTTAGTGGAGAACACACATCACAATCAAGGTTCTGAGAATGCTTCTGTCTAAATTTTCTATGAAGACATTCCCGTTTCCAACGAAATCCTCACAGCTATCCAAATATCCACTTGCAGATTCTACAAAAAGTGTGGTTCAAAACTGCTGTATCAAAAGAATGGATCAACACTGTTAGTTGAGTACCCACATCACAAACGTGATTCTCAGAATGCTTCTGTCTAGTTTCTATAGGTAGATATTTCCTTTTTCAGCATAGGCCTGAAAGCGCTCCAAATGCCCGCTTCCAGACACTATAAAAAGAGGGTTTCAAACCTACTCTATGAAAGGGAATGTTCAACTCTGAGAGCTGGATGCAAACATCACAAAGAAGTTTCTGAGAATGCTGCTGTCTACTTTTGATATATAATCCCGTTTCCAAGGAAATCCTCAAATCTATCCTAATATCCACTTGCAGATTCCAAAAGAAGAGTGTCTCAAAACTGCTCTATCAATAGAAATGTTCAGCACAGTTAGTTGAGTAGATACAGCATAAACATGTTTCTGAGATTACTTCTATCTCGCATTCATGGGAAGATATTTCCTTTTTCCAGATAGGCTACAAAGCCCTCCAAATGTCCACTTCCAGATACTACAAATAGAGTGCTGCACAACTGCTCTATGTGAGGGGATGTTCAATTCTGTGACTTGAATGCAGACACCACAAAGAAGTTTCTGAGAATGCTGCTGTCTAATTTTTACATGTAAGCCCGTTTCCAACGAAATCCTCAAAGCTATCCAAATATCCGCATGCAGAATCTTCAAAAAGAGTGTTCCAGAAGTACTGCATGAAACGAAAGGTTCAAGTCCGTTTGTTGAGGACACACATCACAAATAAGTTTCTCAGAATGCTTCTGTCTTGTTTTCATTGGAAGATATTTCCTTTTTCACCATAGTTCAGAAAGCGCTCCAAATGTCCACTTCCAGATACTCCAAAAAGAGTGTTTCCAACCTGCTCTATGAATGGGAATGTTCCACTCTGTGACTTGAATGGAAATATGGCAAAGAATTTTCTGAGTATGCTGCTGTGTACGTTTTATATTGCATCCCGTTTCCAACGAAATCCTCAAAGCGATCCAAATATCCACTTGCAGATTCCAAAAAAAGAGTGTTTCAAACTGCTCTGTCAGTACAAAGGTTCAACACTGTTAGTTGATTAGATGCCTCATAAACAAGTTCCTGAGATAGCTTCTATGTCGTTTTTATGGGAAGATATTTCCTTTTTCACCATAGGCCTGAAAGCGCTCCAAATGTCCACTTCCAGATACTACAATAAGAGTGTTTCCAACCTGCTCTATGAAACGGAAGGTTCAACTCTGTGACTTGATTGCAAACATCACGAAGGTGTTTCTGAGAATGCTTCTGTCTAGATTTTCTTTGAAGACATTCCCGTTTCCAACGAAATCCTCACAGCTATCCAAATATCCTCTTGCAGATTCTACAAAAAGTGTGGTTCAAAACTGCTGTATCAAAAGAATGGATCAACACTGTTAGTTGAGTACCCACATCACAAACGTGATTCTCGGAATGCTTCTGTCTAGTTTCTATAGGTAGATGTCTCCTTTTTCAGCATAGGCCTGAAAGCGCTCCAAATGCCCGCTTCCAGACACTATAAAAAGAGGGTTTCAAACCTACTCTATGAAAGGGAATGTTCAACTCTGAGAGCTGGATGCAAACATCACAAAGAAGTTTCTGAGAATGCTGCTGTCTACTTTTTATATATAATCCCGTTTCCAACGAAATCCTCAAATCTATCCAAATATCCACTTGCAGATTCCAAAAGAAGAGTGTCTGAAAACTGCTCTATCAATAGAAATGTTCAGCACAGTTAGTTGAGTAGATACAGCATAAACATGTTTCTGAGATTACTTCTATCTCGCATTCATGGGAAGATATTTCCTTTTCCAGATAGGCTACAAAGCCCTCCAAATGTCCACTTCCAGATACTACAAATAGAGTGCTGCACAACTGCTCTATGTGAGGGGAAGTTCAATTCTGTGACTTGAATGCAGACACCACAAAAAAGTTTCTGAGAATGCTGCTGTCTAATTTTTACATGTAAGCCCGTTTCCAACGAAATCCTCAAAGCTATCCAAATATCCGCATGCAGAATCTTCAAAAAGAGTGTTCCAGAAGTACTGCATGAAACGAAAGGTTCAAGTCCGTTTGTTGAGGACACACATCACAAATAAGTTTCTCAGAATGCTTCTGTCTTGTTTTCATTGGAAGATATTTCCTTTTTCACCATAGTTCAGAAAGCGCTCCAAATGTCCACTTCCAGATACTCCAAAAAGAGTGTTTCAAACCTGCTCTATGAATGGGAATGTTCCACTCTGTGACTTGAATGGAAATATGGCAAAGTATTTTCTGAGTATGCTGCTGTGTACGTTTTATATTGCATCCCGTTTCCAACGAAATCCTCAAAGCGATCCAAATATCCACTTGCAGATTCCAAAAAAAGAGTGTTTCAAACTGCTCTGTCAGTACAAAGGTTCAACACTGTTAGTTGATTAGATGCATCATAAACAAGTTCCTGAGATAGCTTCTATGTCGTTTTTATGGGAAGATATTTCCTTTTTCACCATAGGCCTGAAAGCGCTCCAAATGTCCACTTCCAGATACTACAATAAGAGTGTTTCCAACCTGCTCTATGAAACGGAAGGTTCAACTCTGTGACTTGATTGCAAACATCACGAAGGTGTTTCTGAGAATGCTTCTGTCTAGATTTTCTTTGAAGACATTCCCGTTTCCAACGAAATCCTCACAGCTATCCAAATATCCTCTTGCAGATTCTACAAAAAGTGTGGTTCAAAACTGCTGTATCAAAAGAATGGATCAACACTGTTAGTTGAGTACCCACATCACAAACGTGATTCTCAGAATGCTTCTGTCTAGTTTCTGTAGGTAGATATTTCCTATTTTAAGCATAGGCCTGAAAGCGCTCCAAATGCCCGCTTCCAGACACTATAAAAAGAGGGTTTCAAACCTACTCTATGAAAGGGAATGTTCAACTCTGAGAGCTGGATGCAAACATCACAAAGAAGTTTCTGAGAATGCTGCTGTCTACTTTTTATATATAATCCCGTTTCCAACGAAATCCTCAAATCTATCCAAATATCCACTTGCAGATTCCAAAAGAAGAGTGTCTCAAAACTGCTCTATCAATAGAAATGTTCAGCACAGTTAGTTGAGTAGATACAGCATAAACATGTTTCTGAGATACTTCTATCTCGCATTCATGGGAAGATATTTCCTTTTTCCAGATAGGCTACAAAGCCCTCCAAATGTCCACTTCCAGATACTACAAATAGAGTGCTGCACAACTGCTCTATGTGAGGGGAAGTTCAATTCTGTGACTTGAATGCAGACACCACAAAGAAGTTTCTGAGAATGCTGCTGTCTAATTTTTACATGTAAGCCCGTTTCCAACGAAATCCTCAAAGCTATCCAAATATCCGCATGCAGAATCTTCAAAAAGAGTGTTCCAGAAGTACTGCATGAAACGAAAGGTTCAAGTCCGTTTGTTGAGGACACACATCACAAATAAATTTCTCAGAATGCTTCTGTCTTGTTTTCATTGGAAGATATTTCCTTTTTCACCATAGTTCAGAAAGCGCTCCAAATGTCCACTTCCAGATACTCCAAAAAGAGTGTTTCCAACCTGCTCTATGAATGGGAATGTTCCACTCTGTGACTTGAATGGAAATATGGCAAAGTATTTTCTGAGTATGCTGCTGTGTACGTTTTATATTGCATCCCGTTTCCAACGAAATCCTCAAAGCGATCCAAATATCCACTTGCAGATTCCAAAAAAAGAGTGTTTCAAACTGCTCTGTCAGTACAAAGGTTCAACACTGTTAGTTGATTAGATGCATCATAAACAAGTTCCTGAGATAGCTTCTATCTCGCATTCATGGGAAGATATTTCCTTTTTCCAGATAGGCTACAAAGCCCTCCAAATGTCCACTTCCAGATACTACAAAAGAGTGTTTCCAACCTGCTCTATGAAACGGAAGGTTCAACTCTGTGACTTGATTGCAAACATCACGAAGTTGTTTCTGAGAATGCTTCTGTCTAGATTTTCTTTGAAGACATTACCGTTTCCAACGAAATCCTCAAAGCTAGCCAAATATCCACCTGCAGATTCTACAAAAAGAGTGTTTCAAAAGTGCTCTGTCCAAACCAAGGTTCAATTCTGACAGTTGAGTGCACACATCACAAACGTGATTCTGCGAATGCTTCTGTCTAGTTTTTGTCGGAAGATATTTCCTTTTTCAGCATAGGCCCCAAGGAGCTCAAAATGTCCACTGCCAGATAGTACGAGAAGATTGTTTCAAACCTGCTCTGTGAAAGGGAATGTTCAACTCTGTGACTTGAATGTAAACATCCCTAAGATGTTTCTTAGAATGCTTCTGGCTAGATTTGATTTGAAGATATTCCCGTTTCCAACGAAATCCTCAAAGCTTTCCAAATATCCACTTCCAGATTCTATAAAAAGAATGTTTCAGAACAGTTCTGTCAAAAGAAAGGTTCAACTCTGTTAGTGGAGAACACACATCACAATCAAGGTTCTGAGAATGCTTCTGTCTAAATTTTCTATGAAGACCTTCCCGTTTCCAACGAAATCCTCACAGCTATCCAAATATCCACTTGCAGATTCTACAAAAAGTGTGGTTCAAAACTGCTGTATCAAAAGAATGGATCAACACTGTTAGTTGAGTACCCACATCACAAACGTGATTCTCAGAATGCTTCTGTCTAGTTTCTATAGGTAGATATTTCCTTTTTCAGCATAGGCCTGAAAGCGCTCCAAATGCCCGCTTCCAGACACTATAAAAAGAGGGTTTCAAACCTACTCTATGAAAGGGAATGTTCAACTCTGAGAGCTGGATGCAAACATCACAAAGAAGTTTCTGAGAATGCTGCTGTCTACTTTTTATATATAATCCCGTTTCCAACGAAATCCTCAAATCTATCCAAATATCCACTTGCAGATTCCAAAAGAAGAGTGTCTCAAAACTGCTCTATCAATAGAAATGTTCAGCACAGTTAGTTGAGTAGATACAGCATAAACATGTTTCTGAGATTACTTCTATCTCGCATTCATGGGAAGATAATTCCTTTTTCCAGATAGGCTACAAAGCCCTCCAAATGTCCACTTCCAGATACTACAAATAGAGTGCTGCACAACTGCTCTATGTGAGGGGAAGTTCAATTCTGTGACTTGAATGCAGACACCACAAAGAAGTTTCTGAGAATGCTGTTGTCTAATTTTTACATGTAAGACCGTTTCCAACGAAATCCTCAAAGCTATCCAAATATCCGCATGCAGAATCTTCAAAAAGAGTGTTCCAGAACTACTGCATGAAACGAAAGTTTCAAGTCCGTTTGTTGAGGACACACATCACAAATAAGTTTCTCAGAATGCTTCTGTCTTGTTTTCATTGGAAGATATTTCCTTTTTCACCATAGTTCAGAAAGCGCTCCAAATGTCCACTTCCAGATACTCCAAAAAGAGTGTTTCCAACCTGCTCTATGAATGGGAATGTTCCACTCTGTGACTTGAATGGAAATATGGCAAAGTATTTTCTGAGTATGCTGCTGTGTACGTTTTATATTGCATCCCGTTTCCAACGAAATCCTCAAAGCGATCCAAATATCCACTTGCAGATTCCAAAAAAAGAGTGTTTCAAGCTGCTCTGTCAGTACAAAGGTTCAACACTGTTAGTTGATTAGATGCATCATAAAAAAGTTCCTGAGATAGCTTCTATGTCGTTTTTATGGGAAGATATTTCCTTTTTCACCATAGGCCTGAAAGCGCTCCAAATGTCCACTTCCAGATACTACAATAAGAGTGTTTCCAACCTGCTCTATGAAACGGAAGGTTCAACTCTGTGACTTGATTGCAAACATCACGAAGGTGTTTCTGAGAATGCTTCTGTCTAGATTTTCTTTGAAGACATTACCGTTTCCAACGAAATCCTCAAAGCTAGCCAAATATCCACCTGCAGATTCTACAAAAAGAGTGTTTCAAAAGTGCTCTCTCCAAACCAAGGTTCAATTCTGACAGTTGAGTGCACACATCACAAACGTGATTCTGCGAATGCTTCTGTCTAGTTTTTGTCGGAAGATATTTCCTTTTTCAGCATAGGCCCCAAAGAGCTCAAAATGTCCACTGCCAGATAGTACGAGAAGATTGTTTCAAACCTGCTCTGTGAAAGGGAATGTTCAACTCTGTGACTTGAATGTAAACATCCCTAAGATGTTTCTTAGAATGCTTCTGGCTAGATTTTATTTGAAGATATTCCCGTTTCCAACGAAATCCTCAAAGCTTTCCAAATATCCACTTCCAGATTCTATAAAAAGAATGTTTCAGAACAGTTCTGTCAAAAGAAAGGTTCAACTCTGTTAGTGGAGAACACACATCACAATCAAGGTTCTGAGAATGCTTCTGTCTAAATTTTCTATGAAGACATTCCCGTTTCCAACGAAATCCTCACAGCTATCCAAATATCCACTTGCAGATTCTACAAAAAGTGTGGTTCAAAACTGCTGTATCAAAAGAATGGATCAACACTGTTAGTTGAGTACCCACATCACAAACGTGATTCTCAGAATGCTTCTGTCTAGTTTCTATAGGTAGATATTTCCTTTTTCAGCATAGGCCTGAAAGCGCTCCAAATGCCCGCTTCCAGACACTATAAAAAGAGGGTTTCAAACCTACTCTATGAAAGGGAATGTTCAACTCTGAGAGCTGGATGCAAACATCACAAAGAAGTTTCTGAGAATGCTGCTGTCTACTTTTTATATATAATCCCGTTTCCAACGAAATCCTCAAATCTATCCAAATATCCGCTTGCAGATTCCAAAAGAAGAGTGTCTCAAAACTGCTCTATCAATAGAAATGTTCAGCACAGTTAGTTGAGTAGATACAGCATAAACATGTTTACTGAGATTACTTCTATCTCGCATTCATGGGAAGATATTTCCTTTTTCCAGATAGGCTACAAAGCCCTCCAAATGTCCACTTCCAGATACTACAAATAGAGTGCTGCACAACTGCTCTATGTGAGGGGAAGTTCAATTCTGTGACTTGAATGCAGACAGCACAAGAAGTTTCTGAGAATGCTGCTGTCTAATTTTTACATGTAAGCCCGTTTCCAACGAAATCCTCAAAGCTATCCAAATATCCGCATGCAGAATCTTCAAAAAGAGTGTTCCAGAAGTACTGCATGAAACGAAAGGTTCAAGTCCGTTTGTTGAGGACACACATCACAAATAAGTTTCTCAGAATGCTTCTGTCTTGTTTTCATTGGAAGATATTTCCTTTTTCACCATAGTTCAGAAAGCGCTCCAAATGTCCACTTCCAGATACTCCAAAAAGAGTGTTTCCAACCTGCTCTATGAATGGGAATGTTCCACTCTGTGACTTGAATGGAAATATGGCAAAGAATTTTCTGAGTATGCTGCTGTGTACAGTTTTATATTGCATCCCGTTTCCAACGAAATCCTCAAAGCGATCCAAATATCCACTTGCAGATTCCAAAAAAAGAGTGTTTCAAACTGCTCTGTCAGTACAAAGGTTCAACACTGTTAGTTGATTAGATGCCTCATAAACAAGTTCCTGAGATAGCTTCTATGTTGTTTTTATGGGAAGATATTTCCTTTTTCACCATAGGCCTGAAAGCGCTCCAAATGTCCACTTCCAGATACTACAATAAGAGTGTTTCCAACCTGCTCTATGAAACGGAAGGTTCAACTCTGTGACTTGATTGCAAACATCACGAAGGTGTTTCTGAGAATGTTTCTGTCTAGATTTTCTTTGAAGACATTCCCGTTTCCAACGAAATCCTCACAGCTATCCAAATATCCTCTTGCAGATTCTACAAAAAGTGTGGTTCAAAACTGCTGTATCTAAAGAATGGATCAACACTGTTAGTTGAGTACCCACATCACAAACGAGATTCTCAGAATGCTTCTGTCTAGTTTCTGTAGGTAGATATTTCCTATTTTAAGCATAGGTCTGAAAGCGCTCCAAATGCCCGCTTCCAGACACTATAAAAAGAGGGTTTCAAACCTACTCTATGAAAGGGAATGTTCAACTCTGAGAGCTGGATGCAAACATCACAAAGAAGTTTCTGAGAATGCTGCTGTCTACTTTTTATATATAATCCCGTTTCCAACGAAATCCTCAAATCTATCCAAATATCCACTTGCAGATTCCAAAAGAAGAGTGTCTCAAAACTGCTCTATCAATAGAAATGTTCAGCACAGTTAGTTGAGTAGATACAGCATAAACATGTTTCTGAGATTACTTCTATCTCGCATTCATGGGAAGATATTTCCTTTTTCCAGATAGGCTACAAAGCCCTCCAAATGTCCACTTCCAGATACTACAAATAGAGTGCTGCACAACTGCTCTATGTGAGGGGAAGTTCAATTCTGTGACTTGAATGCAGACACCACAAAGAAGTTTCTGAGAATGCTGCTGTCTAATTTTTACATGTAAGCCCGTTTCCAACGAGATCCTCAAAGCTATCCAAATATCCGCATGCAGAATCTTCAAAAAGAGTGTTCCAGAAGTACTGCATGAAACGAAAGGTTCAAGTACCGTTTGTTGAGGACACACATCACAAATAAGTTTGCTCAGAATGCTTCTGTCTTGTTTTCATTGGAAGATATTTCCTTTTTCACCATAGTTCAGAAAGCGCTCCAAATGTCCACTTCCAGATACTCCAAAAAGACTGTTTCAAACCTGCTCTATGAATGGGAATGTTCCACTGAGTGACTTGAATGGAAATATGGCAAAGTATTTTCTGAATATGCTGGCTGTGTACGTTTTATATTGCATCCCGTTTCCAACGAAATCCTCAAAGCGATCCAAATATCCACTTGCAGATTCCAAAAAAAGAGTGTTTCAAACTGCTCTGTCAGTACAAAGGTTCAACACTGTTAGTTGATTAGAGGCATCATAAACAAGTTCCTGAGATAGCTTCTATGTCGCTTTTATGGGAAGATATTTCCTTTTACACCATAGGCCTGAAAGCGCTCCAAATGTCCACTTCTAGACACTACAAAATGAGTGTTTCCAACCTGCTCTATGAAACGGAAGGTTCAACTCTGTGACTTGATTGCAAACATCACGAAGGTGTTTCTGAGGATGTTTCTGTCTAGATTTTCTTTGAAGACATTACCGTTTCCAACGAAATCCTCAAAGCTAGCCAAATATCCACCTGCAGATCCTACAAAAAGAGTGTTTCAAAAGTGCTCTGTCCAAACAAAGGTTCAATTCTGACAGTTGAGTGCACACATCACAAACGTGATTCTGTGAATGCTTCTGTCTAGTTTTTGTCGGAAGAATATTTCCTTTTTCAGCATAGGCCCCAAGGAGCTCAAAATGTCCACTGCCAGATAGTACGAGAAGATTGTTTCAAACCTGCTCTGAGAAAGGGGAATGTTCAACTCTGTGACTTGAATGTAAACATCCCTAAGATGTTTCTTAGAATGCTTCTGGCTAGATTTGATTTGAAGATATTCCCGTTTCCAACGAAATCCTCAAAGCTTTCCAAATATCCACTTCCAGATTCTATAACAAGAATGTTTCAGAACAGTTCTGTCAAAAGAAAGGTTCAACTCTGTTAGTGGAGAACACACATCACAATCAAGGTTCTGAGAATGCTTCTGTCTAAATTTTCTATGAAGACATTCCCGTTTCCAACGAAATCCTCACAGCTATCCAAATATCCACTTGCAGATTCTACAAAAAGTGTGGTTCAAAACTGCTGTATCAAAAGAATGGATCAACACTGTTAGTTGAGTACCCACATCACAAACGTGATTCTCAGAATGCTTCTGTCTAGTTTCCATAGGTAGATATTTCCTTTTTCAGCATAGGCCTGAAAGCGCTCCAAATGCCCGCTTCCAGACACTATAAAAAGAGGGTTTCAAACCTACTCTATGAAAGGGAATGTTCAACTCTGAGAGCTGGATGCAAACATCACAAAGAAGTTTCTGAGAATGCTGCTGTCTACTTTTGATATATAATCCCGTTTCCAACGAAATCCTCAAATCTATCCAAATATCCACTTGCAGATTCCAAAAGAAGAGTGTCTCAAAACTGCTCTATCAATAGAAATGTTCAGCACAGTTAGTTGAGTAGATACAGCATAAACATGTTTCTGAGATTACTTCTATCTCGCATTCATGGGAAGATATTTCCTTTTTCCAGATAGGCTACAAAGCCCTCCAAATGTCCACTTCCAGATACTACAAAAAGAGTGTTTCCAACCTGCTCTATGAAACGGAAGGTTCAACTCTGTGACTTGATTGCAAACATCACGAAGGTGTTTCTGAGAATGCTTCTGTCTAGATTTTCTTTGAAGACATTACCGTTTCCAACGAAATCCTCAAAGCTAGCCAAATATCCACCTGCAGATTCTACAAAAAGAGTGTTTCAAAAGTGCTCTGTCCAAACCAAGGTTCAATTCTGACAGTTGAGTGCACACATCACAAACGTGATTCTGCGAATGCTTCTGTCTAGTTTTTGTCGGAAGATATTTCCTTTTTCAGCATAGGCCCCAAGGAGCTCAAAATGTCCACTGCCAGATAGTACGAGAAGATTGTTTCAAACCTGCTCTGTGAAAGGGAATGTTCAACTCTGTGACTTGAATGTAAACATCCCTAAGATGTTTCTTAGAATGCTTCTGGCGTAGATTTGATTTGAAGATATTCCCGTTTCCAACGAAATCCTCAAAGCTTTCCAAATATCCACTTCCAGAT
Source organism: Homo sapiens (assembly GCF_000001405.40). Taxonomy (NCBI): domain Eukaryota; kingdom Metazoa; phylum Chordata; class Mammalia; order Primates; family Hominidae; genus Homo; species Homo sapiens. The sequence goes on along the minus strand of NC_000008.11, from coordinate 45,349,194 downwards.
TCTATAAAAAGAATGTTTCAGAACAGTTCTGTCAAAAGAAAGGTTCAACTCTGTTAGTGGAGAACACACATCACAATCAAGGTTCTGAGAATGCTTCTGTCTAAATTTTCTATGAAGACATTCCCGTTTCCAACGAAATCCTCACAGCTATCCAAATATCCACTTGCAGATTCTACAAAAAGTGTGGTTCAAAACTGCTGTATCAAAAGAATGGATCAACACTGTTAGTTGAGTACCCACATCACAAACGTGATTCTCAGAATGCTTCTGTCTAGTTTCTATAGGTAGATATATCCTTTTTCAGCATAGGCCTGAAAGCGCTCCAAATGCCCGCTTCCAGACACTATAAAAAGAGGGTTTCAAACCTACTCTATGAAAGGGAATGTTCAACTCTGAGAGCTGGATGCAAACATCACAAAGAAGTTTCTGAGAATGCTGCTGTCTACTTTTTATATATAATCCCGTTTCCAACGAAATCCTCAAATCTATCCAAATATCCACTTGCAGATTCCAAAAGAAGAGTGTCTCAAAACTGCTCTATCAATAGAAATGTTCAGCACAGTTAGTTGAGTAGATACAGCATAAACATGTTTCTGAGATTACTTCTATCTCGCATTCATGGGAAGATATTTCCTTTTTCCAGATAGGCTACAAAGCCCTCCAAATGTCCACTTCCAGATACTACAAATAGAGTGCTGCACAACTGCTCTATGTGAGGGGAAGTTCAATTCTGTGACTTGAATGCAGACACCACAAAGAAGTTTCTGAGAATGCTGCTGTCTAATTTTTACATGTAAGCCCGTTTCCAACGAAATCCTCAAAGCTATCCAAATATCCGCATGCAGAATCTTCAAAAAGAGTGTTCCAGAAGTACTGCATGAAACGAAAGGTTCAAGTCCGTTTGTTGAGGACACACATCACAAATAAGTTTCTCAGAATGCTTCTGTCTTGTTTTCATTGGAAGATATTTCCTTTTTCACCATAGTTCAGAAAGCGCTCCAAATGTCCACTTCCAGATACTCCAAAAAGAGTGTTTCCAACCTGCTCTATGAATGGGAATGTTCCACTCTGTGACTTGAATGGAAATATGGCAAAGTATTTTCTGAGTATGCTGCTGTGTACGTTTTATATTGCATCCCGTTTCCAACGAAATCCTCAAAGCGATCCAAATATCCACTTGCAGATTCCAAAAAAAAAGTGTTTCAAACTGCTCTGTCAGTACAAAGGTTCAACACTGTTAGTTGATTAGATGCATCATAAACAAGTTCCTGAGATAGCTTCTATGTCGTTTTTATGGGAAGATATTTCCTTTTTCACCATAGGCCTGAAAGCGCTCCAAATGTCCACTTCCAGATACTACAATAAGAGTGTTTCCAACCTGCTCTATGAAACGGAAGGTTCAACTCTGTGACTTGATTGCAAACATCACGAAGGTGTTTCTGAGAATGCTTCTGTCTAGATTTTCTTTGAAGACATTACCGTTTCCAACGAAATCCTCACAGCTATCCAAATATCCACTTGCAGATTCTACAAAAAGTGTGGTTCAAAACTGCTGTATCAAAAGAATGGATCAACACTGTTAGTTGAGTACCCACATCACAAACGTGATTCTCAGAATGCTTCTGTCTAGTTTCTGTAGGTAGATATTTCCTATTTTAAGCATAGGCCTGAAAGCGCTCCAAATGCCCGCTTCCAGACACTATAAAAAGAGGGTTTCAAACCTACTCTATGAAAGGGAATGCTCAACTCTGAGAGCTGGATGCAAACATCACAAAGAAGTTTCTGAGAATGCTGCTGTCTACTTTTTATATATAATCCCGTTTCCAACGAAATCCTCAAATCTATCCAAATATCCACTTGCAGATTCCAAAAGAAGAGTGTCTCAAAACTGCTCTATCAATAGAAATGTTCAGCACAGTTAGTTGAGTAGATACAGCATAAACATGTTTCTGAGATTACTTCTATCTCGCATTCATGGGAAGATATTTCCTTTTTCCAGATAGGCTACAAAGCCCTCCAAATGTCCACTTCCAGATACTACAAATAGAGTGCTGCACAACTGCTCTATGTGAGGGGATGTTCAATTCTGTGACTTGAATGCAGACACCACAAAGAAGTTTCTGAGAATGCTGCTGTCTAATTTTTACATGTAAGCCCGTTTCCAACGAAATCCTCAAAGCTATCCAAATATCCGCATGCAGAATCTTCAAAAAGAGTGTTCCAGAAGTACTGCATGAAACGAAAGGTTCAAGTCCGTTTGTTGAGGACACACATCACAAATAAGTTTCTCAGAATGCTTCTGTCTTGTTTTCATTGGAAGATATTTCCTTTTTCACCATAGTTCAGAAAGCGCTCCAAATGTCCACTTCCAGATACTCCAAAAAGAGTGTTTCCAACCTGCTCTATGAATGGGAATGTTCCACTCTGTGACTTGAATGGAAATATGGCAAAGAATTTTCTGAGTATGCTGCTGTGTACGTTTTATATTGCATCCCGTTTCCAACGAAATCCTCAAAGCGATCCAAATATCCACTTGCAGATTCCAAAAAAAGAGTGTTTCAAACTGCTCTGTCAGTACAAAGGTTCAACACTGTTAGTTGATTAGATGCCTCATAAACAAGTTCCTGAGATAGCTTCTATGTCGTTTTTATGGGAAGATATTTCCTTTTTCACCATAGGCCTGAAAGCGCTCCAAATGTCCACTTCCAGATACTACAATAAGAGTGTTTCCAACCTGCTCTATGAAACGGAAGGTTCAACTCTGTGACTTGATTGCAAACATCACGAAGGTGTTTCTGAGAATGTTTCTGTCTAGATTTTCTTTGAAGACATTCCCGTTTCCAACGAAATCCTCACAGCTATCCAAATATCCTCTTGCAGATTCTACAAAAAGTGTGGTTCAAAACTGCTGTATCAAAAGAATGGATCAACACTGTTAGTTGAGTACCCACATCACAAACGAGATTCTCAGAATGCTTCTGTCTAGTTTCTGTAGGTAGATATTTCCTATTTTAAGCATAGGCCTGAAAGCGCTCCAAATGCCCGCTTCCAGACACTATAAAAAGAGGGTTTCAAACCTACTCTATGAAAGGGAATGTTCAACTCTGAGAGCTGGATGCAAACATCACAAAGAAGTTTCTGAGAATGCTGCTGTCTACTTTTTATATATAATCCCGTTTCCAACGAAATCCTCAAATCTATCCAAATATCCACTTGCAGATTCCAAAAGAAGAGTGTCTCAAAACTGCTCTATCAATAGAAATGTTCAGCACAGTTAGTTGAGTAGATACGGCATAAACATGTTTCTGAGATTACTTCTATCTCGCATTCATGGGAAGATATTTCCTTTTTCCAGGATAGGCTACAAAGCCCTCCAAATGTCCACTTCGAGATACTACAAATAGAGTGCTGCACAACTGCTCTATGTGAGGGGAAGTTCAATTCTGTGACTTGAATGCAGACACCACAAAGAAGTTTCTGAGAATGCTGCTGTCTAATTTTTACATGTAAGCCCGTTTCCAACGAAATCCTCAAAGCTATCCAAATATCCGCATGCAGAATCTTCAAAAAGAGTGTTCCAGAAGTACTGCATGAAACGAAAGGTTCAAGTCCGTTTGTTGAGGACACACATCACAAATAAGTTTCTCAGAATGCTTCTGTCTTGTTTTCATTGGAAGATATTTCCTTTTTCACCATAGTTCAGAAAGCGCTCCAAATGTCCACTTCCAGATACTCCAAAAAGAGTGTTTCCAACCTGCTCTATGAATGGGAATGTTCCACTCTGTGACTTGAATGGAAATATGGCAAAGTATTTTCTGAGTATGCTGCTGTGTACGTTTTATATTGCATCCCGTTTCCAACGAAATCCTCAAAGCGATCCAAATATCCACTTGCAGATTCCAAAAAAAGAGTGTTTCAAACTGCTCTGTCAGTACAAAGGTTCAACACTGTTAGTTGATTAGATGCATCATAAACAAGTTCCTGAGATAGCTCTTCTATATCGTTTTTATGGGAAGATATTTCCTTTTTCACCATAGGCCTGCCTCCCCCCACCCCACCCCACATGCTTAGGGCTTGCTCCTTCCCCTCCTTGTCTTTGCTCAAACATCACCTCAAACTGACCTCTGACCAAACTATTTAAAACTGCAGCCCTCAGCCCTTT